>NC_000017.11:3369898-3521414 GCF_000001405.40 Homo sapiens
GTCCAAGCTATCCTCCCACCTTAGCCTCCCGAGTAGCTGGGACTACAGGCGCATGCCACCACGCATGGCTAATTTTTGTATTTTTTGTAGATGATGGGTTTCGTCATGTTGCCCAGGCTGGTCTCGAACTCATGAGCTCAGTGATCTGCCCATCTTGGCCTCCCAAAGTGCTGAGATTACAGGTGTGAGCCACAGTGCCCAGCCCAATTCTTCTTTGGATGTCTGATAGAACTCAGCTGTGAAACCATCTGGTCCTGGACTTTTTTGTGTTGTTGGCATTTTTTAAATTACTGTTTCAATCTTGCTACTTGTTCTTGGTCTGTTCAGTTTCTATTTCTTCCTGGTTTAATCTAAGAGGGTTGTATATTTCCAGAATGTCTCCATCTCCTCCAGGTTTTCTAGTTTGTGTGCATAAAGGTGTTCACAGTAGCCTTGAATGATCTTTTGTATTTCTGTGGTATCAGTTGTAATATCTCCCATTTTGTTTCTAAGTGAGCTTATTTGGATTTTCTCTCTTCTTTTCTTGGTTAATCTCAAGAATGGTCTATCAATTTCTTTATCTTGTCAAAGAACCAGCTTTTTGTTTCATTTATCTTTTGTATTTTTTGTTTGGATTTCATTTAATTCTGCTCTGATCTTTGTTATTTCTTTTCTTCTGCTGGGTTTGGGTTTCGTTTGTTCTTGTTTCTCTAGTTCCTTAAGGTGTGAACTTAGATTGTCTATTTGTTCTTTCGGATTTTTTTTTTTATTGTTCATTCTTGGGTGTTTCTCGCAGAGGGGGATTTGGCAGGGTCATAGGACAATAGTGGAGGGAAGGTCAGCAGATAAACAAGTGAACAAAGGTCTCTGGTTTTCCTAGGCAGAGGACCCTGCGGCCTTCCGCAGTGTTTGTGTCCCTGGGTACTTGAGATTAGGGAGTGGTGATGACTCTTAACGAGCATGCTGCCTTCAAGCATCTGTTTAACAAAGCACATCTTGCACTGCCCTTAATCCATTTAACCCTGAGTGGACACAGCACATGTTTCAGAGAGCACAGGGTTGGGGGTAGGGTCACAGATCAACAGGATAAGAATTTTTCTTAGTACAGAGCAAAATGAAAAGTCTCCCATGTCTACCTCTTTCTACACAGACACGGCAACCATCCGATTTCTCAATCTTTTCCCCACCTTTCCCCCCTTTCTATTCCACAAAACCACCATTGTCATCATGGCCCGTTCTCAATGAGCTGTTGGGTACACCTCCCAGACGGGGTGGTGGCCAGGCAGAGGGGCTCCTCACTTCCCAGTAGGGGCGGCCGGGCAGAGGCGCCCCTCACCTCCCGGGTGGGGCGGCTGGCCAGGCGAGGGGCTGACCTCCTCACCTCCCTCCCGGACGGGGCGGCTGGCCGGGCAGAGGGGCTCCTCACTTCCCAGTAGGGGCGGCCGGGCAGAAGTGCCCCTCATCTCCCGGACGAGGCGGCTGGCCGGGCGGGGGGCTGACCCCCCCACCTCCCTCCCGGACGGGGTGGCTGGCTGGGCAGGGGGCTGACCCCCCCACCTCCCTCCCGGACGGGGTGGCTGGCTGGGCGGGGGGCTGATCCCCCCACCTCCCTCCCGGATGGGGCGGCTGGCCGGGCGGGGGGCTGACCCCACCACCTCCCTCCCGGACGGGGCGGCTGGCCGGGCGGGGGGCTGATTCCCCCACCTCCCTCCCGGACGGGGTGGCTGGCCGGGCAGAGGGGCTCCTCACTTCCCAGTAGGGGAGGCCGGGCAGAGGCGCCCCTCACCTCCCGGACGGGGCGGCTGGCCGGGCGGGGGTGCTGACCCCCCCACCTCCCTCCCGGACGGGGCAGCTGGCCGGGCAGAGGGACTCCTCACTTCCCAGTAGGGGCGGCCGGGCAGAGGCGCCCCTCACCTCCTGGCCGGGGCGGCTGGCCGGGCGGGGGGCTGACCTCCCCACCACCTCCCGCCCGGACGGGGCGGCTGGCCGGGAGGGGAGCTGACCCCCCCACCTCCCTCCCGGACGGGGCGGCTGGCCGGGCGGGGGCTGACCCCCACCTCCCTCCCGGACGGGGTGGCTGCCAGGCGGAGACGCTCCTCACTTCCCAGACGGGGTGGCTGCCGGGCAGAGGGGCTCCTCACTTCTCATACGGGGCGGCTGCCGGGCGGAGGGGCTCCTCACTTCTCAGACGGGGCAGTTGCCAGGCGGAGGGTCTCCTCTCTTCTCAGACGGGGCGGCCAGGCAGAGACGCTCCTCACCTCCCAGACAGGGTCGCGGCCGGGTAGAGGTGCTCCTCACATCCCAGACGGGGCAGCGGGGCAGAGGCGCTCCCCACATCTCAGACGATGGGCGGCCGGGCAGAGATGCTCCTCACTTCCTAGATGGGATGGCGGCCGGGAAGAGGCACTCCTCACTTCCTAGATGGGATGGCGGCCGGGCAGAGACACTCCTCACTTTCCAGACTGGGCAGCCAGGCAGAGGGGCTCCTCACGTCCCAGACGATGGGCGGCCAGACAGAGACGCTCCTCACTTCCCAGACGGGGTGGCGGCTGGGCAGAGGCTGCAATCTCGGCACTTTGGGAGGCCAAGGCAGGCGGCTGGGAGGTGGAGGTTGTAGCGAGCTGAGATCACGCCACTGCACTCCAGCCTGGGCACCATTGAGCACTGAGTGAACGAGACTCCGTCTGCAATCCCGGCACCTCGGGAGGCCGAGGCTGGCGGATCACTCGCGGTTAGGAGCTGGAGACCAGCCCGGCCATCACAGCGAAACCCCGTCTCCACCAAAAAAATACGAAAACCAGTCAGGCGTGGCGGCGCGCGCCTGCAATCGCAGGCACTCGGCAGGCTGAGGCAGGAGAATCAGGCAGGGAGGTTGCAGTGAGCCGAGATGGCAGCAGTACAGTCCAGCTTCGGCTCGGCATCAGAGGGAGACCATGGAAAGAGGGAGAGGGAGAGGGAGGAGAAGGAGAAGGAGAGGGAGAGGGAGAGGGAGAGGGAGAGGGAGAGGGAGAGGGAGAGGGAGAGGGAGAGGGCTCTTTAGGATTTTTTGATGTAGGCATATAATGCTATGAACTTTCCTCTTAGCACTACTTTTGCTACATCCCAGAAGCTTTCATAGGTTGTGTCACTCTTATTCAGTTGAAATAATTTTTTTAATTTCCATCATGATTTTACTCAAATAACATGCAGAAGCAGCTTATATAATTTCCATGCGTGTGTGTAGTTTTGAGGGTTCCTTTTGGAGTTAATTTCCAATTTTATTCCACTGTGGTCTAAGAGAGTACTTGATATAGTTTCCATTTTCTTAAACTTATTGAGACTTGTTTTGTGGCCTATCATGTGGTCGATCTTGGAGAATGTTCTATGTGCTGATGAAAAGAATGTATATTCTGCAGTTGTTAGGTAGAATGTTCTGTAAATATCCGTTAAGTCCAGTTGCTCTAGGTTATAGTTTAAGTCCATTGTTTCTTTGTTGACTGTCTTGATGACCTGTCTAGTGCTGTCAGTAGAGTACTGAAGTCCCCTACTATTACTGTATTGCCATCTATCTCATTTCTTAGTTCTAGTAGTAATTGTTTTATACATTTGGGAGCTCCAGTGTTCGGTACATATATAGTTAGAATTGTGATATTTTCCTGTTGGACTAATCCTTTTTATCATTATATAATGTCTCTCTTTGTCTTTTTTAACTGCTGTTGCTTTAAAGTCTGTTCTGTCTAATATAAAAATAGCTACTCCTGCTTGCTTTTGGTTTCCATTTGCATGGAATATTTTTTTCCACCCCTTTACCTTAAGTTTCCATGAGTCCTTATGCGTTAGGTGAGCCTCTTGAAGACAGAAGATACTTTTTTGGTGGATTTTTATTCATTCTTCCATTCTGCATCTTTTAACTGGGGCACTTAGGCCATTTACATTCAATGTTAATACTGAGATGTGAGGTAGTGTTCTGTTCATCATGCTCATTGTTCCCTGAATTCCTTGGGTTTCTTTTTTATTGTGTTATTGTTTTATAGGCCCTGTGAAATTTATGCTTTAAGGAGGTTCCAGTTTGTTGTATTACAAAGTTTTATTACCAGATCCAGAACTCCTTTTAGCATTTCTTGTAGTGCTTGTTTGGTAGTGACAAATTCTCTTAACATTT
This sequence comes from Homo sapiens, assembly GCF_000001405.40. Classification (NCBI taxonomy): domain Eukaryota; kingdom Metazoa; phylum Chordata; class Mammalia; order Primates; family Hominidae; genus Homo; species Homo sapiens. The sequence continues at coordinate 3,374,019 of NC_000017.11, forward strand.
GTCAGTCTGAGAAAGATTTTATCTCCCCTTTGTTCATGAAGTTTAGTTTTGCTGGATACAAAATTCTTGGCTGATAATTTTGTTCAAGGAGGCTAAAAGTAGAACCCCAATCCCTTCTGGCTTGTAGGGCTTCTGTTGAGAAATCTGCTGTTAATCTGATAGGTTTTCCTTTATAGTTTACCTGATGCCTTTGCCTCACAGCTCTTAAGATTTGTTCCTTCACCTTAACTTTAGATAACCTGATGACTATCTGCCCAGGTGATGATCTTTTCGCAATGAATTTCCAGGGTGTTCTTTGAGCTTCTTGTATTTGGTCATCTAGATGTCTAGTAAGACCAGGGGAGGTTTCCTCAATTATTCCCTTCAGTAAGTTTTCCAAACTTTTAGATTTCAGTTCTTTCTCAGGAACACCAATTATTCTTATGTTTGGTTGTTTAACATAATCCCAAATTTATTGGAGGCTTTATTCATTTTTCTTTGTCTTTGTCAGATTGTGTTAATTTGAAAGCCATGTCTTCGAGCTCTGACATTCTTTCTTCCACCTGTTTGATTCTATTGTTGAAACTTCCCAATGTATTTTGCATTTCTTTAAGTGTGTCTTTCATTTCCAGAAATTGTGATTATCTTTTCTTTACGGTTTCTATTTCTCTGGAGACATTTTCCCCCATGGTCCTTCAAGATTTTATTTATTTTTATTTTTTAGCTCCATAGGTTATTTGGGAACAGGTGATGTTTCATCTCACGAATAAGTTCTTTAGTGGTGATTTCTGAGATTGTGGTGCACTCATCACTCAAACACTATACACTATACCCAATTTGTAGTCTTTTATCCCTCACTCCCCTCCCACCCTTTCCCCCAAGTCCCCAAAGTCCATTGTATCATTCTTATGCCTTTGCATCTTCATAGCTTAGCTCTCACTTATGAGTGGGAACATACAATGTTTGGTTTTCTATTCCTGAGTTACTTAACTTAGAATAATGGTCTCCAGAGAATTTTTCATTCATATCCTGTATTTTTTTTAATTTCCTTAAGTTGGTGTTCATCTTTCTCTGGTACTTCATTGAGTAGCTTAATAGTCAACCTTCTGAATTCTTTATCTGGCAATTCAGAGCCTTCTTCCTTTTTTTTTTTTTTTTTTTTTTTTTTTTTTCTTTTTGAGACAGTCTCACTCAGTTGCCCAGGCTTGAGAGATTTCTTCCTTTTTTTTTTTCTTTTTTTTTTTTTTTCCCCCCCTTTTTGAGATAGTCTCACTTGGTCACCTGGACTTGACAGATTTCTTCCTTTTTTTTTTTTTTTTCTTTTTGAGACAGTCTCACTCAGTCACCCAGGCCTAAGTGCAGTGCCACGATCTCAATTCACTGCAACCTTTGCCTCCTGGGTTCAAGTGATTCTCCTGCCTCAGCCTCCCTAGTAGCTGGGACTACAGGCATATGCCACCATGTCTGGCTCATTTTGTATTTTTAGTAGAGATGGGGTTTCACCATGATGGTCAGGCTGGTCTCAAACTCCTCACCTCAAGTGATCCACCCTCCTCAGCATCCCAAAATGTTGAGATTACAGGCATGAGCCACCGTGCCTGGCCCAGTAATTTCTTCTTGGTTTGGGTCCATTGCTGGAAAGCTAGTGTGATCTTTTGGGGGTGTTATAGAACCTTGTTTTGCTATATTACCAGAATTACTTTTCTGGTTCTTTCTCATTTGGGTAGACTGTTTTAGTGGAAAAATCTGGAACTCAAGGGCTGCTCTTCAGGTTCTTTTGTCCCATGGGGTGATCCCTTGATATGGTGCTCTCCCCCTTCCCCTAGAGATGGAACTTCCTGAGAGTGAGACTGCAGTGATTGTTATTTGTCTTCTGGGTCTAGCCACCCAGCAGGGATACTGGGCTCTGGGCTGGTGCTGGGGAATGTCTGCAAAGAGTCCTGTGATGTGATCTGTCTTCAGGTCTCCCAGCAGTGGATACAAGTACCTGCTCTGGTGGAGGTGGCAAAGAGTGAAATGGACTCTGTGGGAGTGCTTGGTTGTAGTTTGGTTTAGTGCACTGGTTTTCTCAAATGCTGGTCATGCTAGCAGTTAAGCTGTCACATGGACAAACTCAGGATCTCTGGTTGACCAGGGTGTTGCAAACAGTGGAATGAGATATTGTTTTCTCCTTCTTTGGAGCAGGTTTGTTCCTTATGAGTTGCTGTAATGGCTTTAGATTGTTGGCCCCCAGCCAGGAGGTGGCACTTTCAAGAGAGCACCAGCTACGATAGTAGAAGGGGGATATAAGCTTGCCCTACATTGGCCAGGATAAATAATGGGGTTTCTCAGGTGACGGTTGGGGCCACAGAGCTCCCATTTATGTCTTTTGTCTTTGGCTACCAGGGTGGGTAGAGAAAAACCATCAGGGGAAGGCAGGGTTAGGTGGGTCTGAGCACAGACTCTCCTTGGGCAGGGCTTGCTGCAGCCACTGTGGGGGACGGAAGGGGTGGTTCTCAGACCACTGGAGTTATGTTCCCAGGGGGAATATGGCTGCCTTTGCTGCATCATACATATCACCAGGGAAGTGGGGAAAACCAGCAGTGACAGGTGTCACCCAGCTTCCATGCAGCCAGAAAGGCCAGTCTCACTCCCATCATGACCCACCAATAGCACTGAGTTTATGTCCAGGCAGCAGGGCTGAGATCTTCCCCCAGGCTACCAGCCTCCCCACTGAGAAAGCAAGCAGGGCTATCAGGTCTTGCCTCTCCCTGCCTGCCTTATTACAGAGGTCAGCTAGAAGCTTCCTTCACCCTTTGGCCCCTCCCCCAATTCTGCTGGCTGCCTTTCCCAAGGATCCCTGTGAGATAAGGCCAGGGATGGCTTCCCTGGGCTTGGACTGGAGACCAGGGGTGCCTACAGGGCTCTTTCTATTGCTTCTTCTACTTTTATATTTTGCTCGGTTCCTTAAATCTGCTTTAGCTCTAGGTAAGGTTAAATCCTTCTCTCCCATGATCTGATTTTCAGGTTCCCTAGTGGGGATGTGGGTTTGGAGGCAGACTTTTCTCCCTCTCACACATTGAAAACTCAGTTTTTCAGCTGCCTTGCAGAGTTTGCAGCGGCAAGCTGCTTCTTTCAAAGGGTATGTGAATTCTTTTGGTTTTGCTTGTATCTTCCTGTAGTGATTCTTGTAGAGAAAGTTCACAATGTGAGTCTCCACACGGTGTTCTGTCCAACCAAGGGGGAGCTGCATGTTAGTCCCGTCTCCTAACCGCCATTTTCCTAGCATTTCCCAGCCTCAGTTTGGTCATTTATAAAATGAAAATAATAATGCCCTACTTCATGAAGCTGTTAGGAATATTAAATGACAATATATAAGCAATAAAGGCAATGTCTGGTAGGTGTTCAATAAAGGGTAGCTGCTATCATTATTATTGTTGCTTATTTTATTAGCTTTATTCTCTCTCTTCCTTAATGGGCCCACATTCTTTGCCTACCTCACTGAGACTGTAAGTGGAAGAGACCATTTTGGCCCTGAGATTTATCCCCGAAGACTCCTTCAGGCGTTTGTTCCTCGGGCTTTAGATGAATGGGTTTGGCATGGCCATGACTACTACGTACAGCACGGGGGCTGCTGAGTCTCCTCTACCAAGCTGTTCCATTGACCAGGGAGATGACACCAAGGTGAGGGCTGCAGGCACTTCTCTGGGGAAAAGAAGACTCTGAGGATAGCTGAGACCATACAGATAAAGAAAAAGATGATATAATCCAGTATGACAGGGCCAGTAGAAAGGCTAAAATTAAAAATTGATAATACCAGGTGTTGACAAGAATGTCGAGAAATTGGAACTCTCAAATATTCCAAAGGGGATGTAAACTAGTCTGACCATTTTGGAAAACTATTTATCAGTTTCTAAGAAAGTGAGACATATAACCACCTTTTGACCCAGCAGTTCTGTTCCTAGGTATATAACAAGGAGAAATGAAAACATAACAAGGAGAAATGAAAACATAACAAGGAGAAATGAAAGCACCATCTGATTGGCTGAATGGTCATCAATGAGGTTCGCACACCAGGCTGCTGACTTCACCTGGAACCGGCAGCCTGGCCCCCAGGCTTCAGGCCATCCCTGGCTTGAAGGTGGGGTTTCACCAGGACCTGCCCCTTCCCACCTAGGAACCTGTCTGCCTTTTACATGCTGTCTGTGGTACCCAGGCTGTCCACACTGAGAGGCATCTGTAGGCCCATGCCAAGCTGCCCTCACACCGCCCTCCCCAGACTCCCCTCCCACACTCTTTGGTGTCCAAAGTCTGGAGGGGGCAGAGGCAGCAGGGGGCTGGCACGTCAGCCCCCTGAGTGTGTGCACACCTGGCTGGGTTGCAACAATGCCCAGGCTCGGCCACAACTTTGCTCTGCCCTGGAGCAGGTGCCAGGAGTAGGGAGAGGCCAGAGCAGAGCAGGCACTTTCAAGCCCGTGGGGGCAGGGGGCTTCCTGGACCCCTAAGAGTGCAGGGATGCTTGGGTCCAGAGCCACGGCTGGGCAGCTGCAGCTGCGCCTAGGAGTGTGGGGCTCCTGCCTCACCAACTTGGTAGGGGGTGGGGCTCCCACCTCTTCCCAGCCCCTGCCAGCTCCACCGAGCACGCAGCCCTGGCCGCACCTCCCCTGCTGCAGCTGGCATCCCCGCAGCAGCTGCTCCAGATGGGCCACCACTATCACTTCTGCATAAACTATGGTTCCCAGGTACTTCCCACATGCCCAAATCCTTCCACTTTTCTTCTTGTTTAAATACCACTTCCCCCCGGAAGTTCTCCCTGAACACTCAAGCCACAGGTGCAGTTTCATTTCAGTACCTAGGGCACTTATTGCCAAGCACTGTAACTTGCTGTGCCCAAGTCTTCTCCCCGCAACCTGTTAACTATGAAATGTGCATCCTCAAAACTTTATACCCTCAAACATGAAAGAATCATCAGTTTACTCCTCTCAATTTACCAGGGAGAAAGCTGAGACTCACAGGGGAGAAATGCCTCACCTAGGGTCAAAAGCTAGTGGGGACTTGAATATCTCACTCATTCCACAACTTCTCTGACACTCCTCAGAGATCAACAAGGCTGGGACCCCATATGCTGAGTAAATATTATCAAGTGAATGAATAGTCAAGCTAGAGAAGTTCATTCCATGGGACGTGACTATCAGTTCCACAAGAACTAAAAGGCATATGGCCCAGGTAGAGAAAGGAAAGATGAGAGAACAAGACTGTCCTCAGGAGAAACTGGTCCAGCCTGGGAAGTTAGGTTGGCCCCTCCAGATCCAGGAGGGCTACTCTGCCGAGGCCAATGAGGACACGACAGTCAAAAGGCTTCAGAACAAGGAACAGAAGTCATTTTGCTCTGACACCAGCTGGACAAGGCTGAGATCCCCACAACTCCAACCTGAGCAAAGGAGTAACAGAGAGCGCCAACCCTGAAGTCCACAAAGAACAGCTCCACATGGGGTGTGAGGCTCGGCTGCCACGATCCCTGAACCTACTGTCCTGGAGCAAATCTGCTGGCAATTCCAGCCCTTCCTCTCCTCCCCCAGGTTCTGGGTGAGGTGGGACCTCAGAGGTTGAGGCAGGCCTGGAGCTCAGGGAAGGGCACCCGCAGCTCCACTTCACTGCTCACAGTGGAATTAGGAGGAAGAGCTCTTCCCCGAGCAGAGGAATCACATGGTGAGGTCGCAGCTTTAGGGGTGATGGTTGTAGCTCAGGGTGGGAAAAACCAGGGAGAAGAGGCCAGGGTCACTAACACACCCCGTCCCTCACATGCCATCCTGCATAGAAGGGGCAGGGGAGTGACAGCATCATCCTCTGAGCACAGCAGACCAGCACAGCCAGTCACCACACTGAGAGGCATCTACCTCAGTTCTGGCTTCCCACACACCTCGATGCCCCCTCTCCTACTCAGTTCTCTAGCACAAGAGAGGAGGGGAGGCTGCACTAGCTGAGGACTGAGGAGTCCTCAAGGGGCCAGTGGTTTCAGAGGCCACCATAACTCTCCACAGAATTTCCAGGCTAATCAATTAGTGGGTGGCCCCTCTCCTCCCAGCCTGCAGGCCACTCCTCCTGCCTTTGGCTGCTGAGGCCAATCTTCCTCTCCAGGGCACACCTGCTGTAACTCCCCCTTTGCCTGAAGCAGATTAGCCTCTGTGGGTGAGCTGTGGAGGGCAGAGCTCGTTAATGCTTGCAGACTTGCTGGGAGGAAGCAGAAGAATCATGGCAGAAAGGGAAGGGGAGTAAATCAAGCGTCTGAGGGAGAGCAATACACGAGAACGACCTGCCAACGTGTGGCACGCAGCACAGGGAAGTGGATGAACCATAGGTGGGTTCGGAGCCCAGGATCTGGACTCTGACTGATCCCCTGATTACTGAGCGACTGCAGACACAGTTCTCCGGGTGCTGCTTTCCCTGTCTATGACATGGGTGTTGGGTGGAATGATATCTAGGAATCATTGCCAGCTGCCTGATACCAGGATAGAATGGTGAGTTCTTTGTCTTTGTCTTACTCATCTCCGAATGCCTCCCCCACCAGTGCTCAAGTACCTGCCTGGCATGGAGTAGATACAACAGTTAAGATGTTTGAATACATTATTGAAGACAAATGAGTAAGAAGTTGGCAGAAGGAAGTAGAGGAGAAGAGATCCTTGGAATACAAAGGGCTCATCCAGGACTAAGACTGTGGTTAAAGAGAAAGCTACTGGGCACACCATCAAGAGAAGAATCTGGGCTGGCCAAGGAGAGACTGGATTTAAGGAATTGGATAGAAACCCCCAGGCCTGAGAGCGTGGGGGCCACTGATGGTTTCCCTGTTTACCACTGCCCACTCTCCACTCTGTTGAGGCAGGCGGACTTGAGGCAAGAGAGAGCGAGAGGAAGGAGGGAACCGGTATGTGGATGTTTGCGTGTAAGATTCACGTGTGTGCCTCAGTGTGTCTGGGAGCATCTATTGAGGTTTTATGTCTCTGGCATTTGTTTGGGGGCAGGGCATCTTTGTTGGGTGTTGCATGTGTATGTGGCATATATGATTTATGTTTTTCTCTAGTGCACGGATCTCTGTAGGTGTCTACGTCTGTGTGTAAGGGACTGAGTGTTTGTATGTGCCCATATATTCATATATTCCTGTCCCGGTGGGTGTGCGTGTCTCTGGCATGTCTGTGTGCCTGGACATATCGGGATACATCCGTGTGTGTCTGTGTGCAAGCGTGTATCCCTGTGCACTTCCGTGTCTTGGGGCATCTGAATGTGCGCTCCAAAAGTGACCATTTTAGCATGGAGTTGAAGGCAGTGAGCTGCCTCAAACATAGGGTTTTTTTTTTTTTTTTAAATTCTAGATCCTAAGCATCCCTGCCTCATTTTGCGACCTTAAATAATCAATCCTTCCTGCCCAATTCAAAGCAGACACCTGCCTGACCTGGGCCTGAGGAAAGGGCTATGTGTCCACAACAGCAGCTCAGCATCCAGGGAGCCCAGCCCTGTGCCTCGTGTTTCAACAGGAGCTGACACAAACTCAGTCATCATATCTCCCCATCGCCTGAAGTCGTCAGGAGATGGGGAAGGAAACTGACATTTATGAAGCACCTACTATTTGCAAAGTGTTTATAAGCAAACTGTGAGGATGGTATTTTTATCCTACTTTTGGAGAAAAAAAAATGAAGCTCAAAGAGGTTAAGAAGCTTCCTGGAGTTTCTCTTGTATTTCCTTTGTACGTGGAAAGGAATTCTTTCTAGAATTCTCTCCTACTCCTATGTGTCCACTGAATGCCTTGTCCTTCAAGCTCGCCCTGCTCAAATGCCACCTCTTCTGTGGAGTCTTCCCTGACTTTGCCAGGAAAGTTAGGACAAAACCTTGTGCCGAGCCTGAGGTCAGATGAGGAAAGACAAACATTTGTCTTCAGAAGGCTCATCATCTAGCAGGGAAGATCAGCATTACAGAAAAAACAAAAACAAAACAAAAAACAGAAAAGAAATCCTCACTTTATACCAGCAAATGAGGGCCAAGTTCCCAATGAGAGATACAAGAAGCAGGAGTGAGGTGTTCGTGTGGGCTGGGAAGTCAAGAAAGGAGGTGGGGTTTCCTGGAGGAGTGGAGCTGGGCGGGGTACTGGGATAGGGTAGGAAGAGTATTTCAGGTAGGGAGGAGCATACAGGGAAGGCATGTGAGAAGGAGGGGGCCATGCTGGAAAGCTCTGGATGTGTGGCTGAGCCACCGGCACTCTATCTAACAGGCAACGGGATATTTGTATGAGTGCAAACGGCTCAGCCCTGCATCCAGTAGGCAAGAGGGAAACTGGCAGGAAAGTAAAGTTGAGTGGGAAAACTATGGCTCAGGAATTCCCAGAGCCCTTATAGCTGTGGCGTTCTCTCTATATACAGCTTCTGTCTCAGCCCACAGGAAACCCACTGAAGTCTCTGGGCTGAGATGGATGACAACACATTTGCCTTCAAGACTGGGTACCTCTGGCTGGGAGGGAGACCAGCCAACAATCTCTGCAGAGAGTACTGAGTTCTGGCATGCTGCCCTTCAGGTGAGAAAACCCAACATTTCTCTGCTATCTTCTTTTCCTCATGTCCTATTTTCCTCCCTGACCCCACGTCCAAACTCTGCCTTACAGCACTAGGGAGGAAGAGGCCACATTTTAGCTCTAAGCAACCCACAAAACATCTTCTTATACCTTCACATTCTCTTTCCCCTGCCTGAAATGCCCTTTCCACTCCCAAGCATCTGTATATCTGGTGGTCTCCTACTCATTCTTCCAAAATCAGCTCGAATTCCACTTATTCTTTGGAATCTTCTCCAAATCGTCTAGCAGAGGAAACCACTCCCACTTTGTTCATGCAGTTAGTGTAGTGCTTATTACATTGTGCCTAGCTGGAGGTCAAGGACAACGACTGGCCTTTCTTCAGAGCCCCGGAACCCAGCACAATGCCGGACCCAATAAAGGCACTCAATAAAGGGGCATGAATTGTACGGCTGAGCCATCATACGGCTAGAGCATTGTGTCCAACTCCTGTTAACATGGACAAAGCAGAGAGTGACCAGAATGGAAAAGGACCTAAAAATATGGCTCTATAAGAAAAGATCTAAGGTACTAGGGGTGTTTGGGTTGAAGAAAAGAATAGTGGAATAGGTTCCTTTGGCCACTATGTGAAAAGCTGCAGAGAAAGCAGGCTTGGCATGTGTAGCTCTGAGGCCAAAATTGGAATCATTTGTAGAAGTCACAGGAAAGCAGACTTCAGCTGAGATTAAGAAAAAGACTTAAACAACTACAGTCCTCCAGCGCTGGACTGGCCTATCTCAAGAAGCCATCAGGGAACAGAGAGAAACCATCAGAAGCTGAGGAAAAAGGAACTAACATCTATTAGCATCCGTTCCCTGCTACACTTCTGTATGTGCATTACCTCTTTAATCTTGACATCAACCGTGTAAGAGAGGCCTCAATATCCCCATTATAGATGAAGAGACTGAAGAGGAAATGAAGTGGGTCCACGTTTCCACAGCCAGTCAGGATGAAAATCCAGGTGGCTCTAAAGCTAGTGCTCTTCTCACTGCATCACACAACCTGCCTAAGAGGAGTTTGGGGAGTGCAGGTTAGGAGTCAGTTGAGAAGAATCCTACAACTGAAGAGAATGGATTGGAGGGGTGCCAAGGTCCTGGCTCTCTGATGCTACTACTCTATACTGGGGCAAGGGGTGGGGTTGGAAGGGGCATAGCAGATGATTTCCCTGGGACGGCAACTGGGTGACAATGATAGAGAAGCAGCAAAATATAAAAAATGTTATATATCTGGTTACCTTAGGAAGTTGACAGCAGTTTGCCTTGGAGTTTGTCCATCACCCTCTCCTTCACGGTCCCTTCACCTCTGTTTTCATTCATTGCTCTTCCAAAAGCTTCATTCAACAAATATTTATTGAATAAATATTGTATACAAATATTTATTGAATAAATATTGTATACAAATATTTATTGAATAAATATTGTATACAATATTTATTGAATAAATATTGTATACAAATATTTATTGAATAAATATTATATACAGATCACTGCACAAGACAGTGAGATGTAGCTCCTTCCTGCAAGGAGCTTCCCTGCTAAGACCTGACTTAGTCCATCCTCCAGGATTTCACCAAAGCCTGGAGCTTTCCTGGCAAAGGGTAGGTGTGCTAGATTGGTTGAACACTGCTAGAAACCTTGGAGCAATGGGAGAAAAGAATGTGGTGTTTTAAGGAAGAGATTAAATGGGGGACAAAATGAGTACATTGTTTCTGAGATAACTGAAGTCACTTGGTTAACTGAGAAATTTAAAAGTGTTTTCTCCAGTTGATTTTGTGCACTGAGGACAGAGCAAGGACAAGCCTTTCCCAGTGTCATGTGCGGATGTTTTACTCTCTTCACTCCATGCCTCCTCTGCCAACAACTCCACACAATCTCTTCATGCAGTCTGCAATGCCCTCCCTGTCCCACACAACATCATGTCTGTTTGGTGAACCTGATTCATTCACCAAGACCCAGTTCAAGTCTCTCCTCTTCTTTGAATTCTTCCCAAATTTCTCTAGGAAGAATAATTTACTCCTGCTTGGTTCATGAAATTAATAAAGTATTAAACATGCTGCAAGCTACTGCACGTCAAACTGTTTGGGGGCAGAAGCTAAGACTCATTCATCTTCCTGCTCTCTACAGTATCTAGTACAGGGGTCAGCAAATTGTCCAAATCCAGACCACCACCTGTTTTGCAAATAAAGTTTTATTGGAACAGTACTGTGGCCATTCATTTACTTTTTGTTGATGGCTGCTTTTGCACTGCAACTTCTGAGCTGAGTTGTTGCAACAAGACCATATGGACCACAAGCCTAAAATATTAACTATATGATTCTTTACCAAAAAAAAAAGCTTGTCTGGCCAGGCACAGTGGCTCACGCCTGTAATCCCAGCACTTTGGGAGGCCAAGGCGGGTGGATCACCTGAGATCGGGAGTTCGAGACCAGCCTGACCAACATGGAGAAACCCGGTCTCTACTAAAAAAAATACAAAATTAGCCGGGCGTGGTGGCGCATGCCTGTAATCCCAGCTACTCGGGAGGCTGAGGCAGGAGAATTGCTTGAACCCAGGAGGCAGAGGTTGCGGTGAGCTGAGATCATGCCATTGAACTCCAGCCTGGGCAACAAGAGTGAAACTCCGTCTCAAAATAAATAAATAAATAAATAAATCTTGTCAATTCCTGAAGAACCATATAATGTGTGGTCAACAAATGAATGGTAAATGCAGTAAGGTGCTTTATGAAGAAATTTAGACTGGTACTCAAATGGCCTGGGTCCGAATTCTGCTCCTAATTGTTTAAACAAATAATGATGATTAAGTAAATAGATGTTAGATAGATTACACAGATGATACACAGATCACATAGACAGCAAAGACAGATGGATAGATGATAGAGGAGGATAGATAGATAGATAGATAGAGGAGTTTGGATAGATAGATGATAGAGGAGTTTTGAGTGCTTATTATATGCCAGGCACTGTGCGAAGTATTTTAAACTTATTCACTGTATCCAACAACCAATTCCATGGGTAGCCACTAATATTTTCCTCATTAAAGAAGAAGAAACTGAGGCTCAGAAAGGTCTCAACACCTTTGTGGTAGAGCCAGGATTCAAAGCAGGTCTGACCTACACCAAAGTCTGAGAGTTACCCACTACGCTAGAACACTCTTCTGAGATTCCGTTTCTTCATAAAATTAAGATTATTGGATGAGCAACGTGATTTTCAATCCATTTAGCAAGCAGAAATTTGTATATTTATAAACATATATTAAAATGTATATCTGGAACCTCAACATGCAGGAAGTCTACCCGGAGTTCTAGAATTTCGGCCGGCTGCCTCCTCCCTCCCCTCGGCATTCCCACCTGTCAGTCCACTCCATGGCTCCGACCAACCTCACATCTGCCCCCGTGTTCCTCCTCCTCGGCCTGGTGGACGGAACAGACGCCCACCCGCTGCTGTTCCTGCTCTGCCTTGGCATCTATCTGCTCAACGCCCTGAGCAACCTGAGCATGGTGGCGCTGGTGAGATCCGACGGGGCCCTCCGCTCCCCCATGTATTACTTCTTGGGTCACCTGAGCCTCGTGGACGTCTGCTTTACCACCGTCACGGTCCCCAGGCTGCTGGCCGGCCTGCTCCACCCGGGCCAGGCCATATCCTTCCAGGCGTGCTTTGCCGAGATGTACTTCTTCGTGGCTCTGGGCATCACCGAGAGCTACCTCCTGGCGGCCATGTCCTACGACCGCCCGACGGCGGCGTGCCGGCCCCTGCGCTACGGCGCGCTGGTGACGCCATGGCGCTGCGCCTCGCTGGTGCGTGCGTCGTGGGCCGTGACGCACCTGCACTCGCTGCTGCACACGCTGCTCCTCTCCGCGCTCTCCTACCCCTACCCCACCCCCGTGCGCCCCTTCTTTTGCGACATGACGGTGATGCTGAGCTTGGCGACCTCGGACACGTCCGCCGCGGAGACGGCCATCTTCTCCGAGGGCCTGGCCGTGGTGTTGGCCCCGCTGCTCCTCGTGTTCCTTTTCCTACGCGCGCATCCTGGTCGCGGTGCTCGGCTTGCCGGCGGCCGGCGCCGCGCCTTCTCCACCTGCGGGGCCCACCTAGTGGCGGTGGCGGTGGCGCTTTTCTTTGGCTCTGTCCTCTCCGTGTATTTCCCGCCGTCGTCTGCCTACTCAGCCCGCTACGACCGCCTGGCCAGCGTGGTCTACGCTGTCATCACGCCGACCTTGAACCCTTTCATCAACAGCCTTCGCAACAAAGAGGTCAAGGGCGCCCTGAAAAGGGGGCTCAGATGGAGGGCTGCACCCCAAGAGGCGTGAGGGCAAATCTGGCTCACTGGCATTTTCATGATAACAGTTACAGAAAAAAAAACCTTGTTTTTTGGCTTTCTAAAGCACTATTAATTTCGATCTACCCTGTCTTATTTCTGTTAAATAAGAAATTAGACCCGAAGTAAATATGACAAAGTGTTTACTGTAGTGATAGATACATAGTAGGTTGAATTCGTGTGTTATCTGAATGTGTGAGATAGATTCTACTTTTAAATTTTGGGTAAATGAAAAGACAGCAAATGGAGGTAGACAAATAGTTTGTGAAGAGGGAGAAGAAAGAGTGTGACTAGCAGGAACCCGGTGGGTGGACGGGAAGCCTGTGAAGCAATGGATAATTTTTTTTTTTTTTTGAGATAGTGCCTCCCTCTGGCGCCCACGCTGAGTGCAGTGGTGCCATCTCGGCTCACTACAACTTCCGCCTCCCGGGTTCAAGCTATTCTCCTGCCTCAGTCTCCCAAGTAGCCAGGATTACAGGCACCTGCCACCGCACCCGGCTAATTTTTTTTGTGTTTTCTTTACTAGAGACAGGGTTTCACTATGTTGACCAGGCTGGTCTCGAACTCCTGGCCTCAAGTGATCCCCCTGCCTGGGCCTGCCAAAGTGCTGGGATTACAGGCGTGAGCCTCCGCATCCAGCCCAGGGGAGGATCTTAAAGAGGTGTTTGTTGTTGGATGCCCCTGCAGACTCCTCCTGGAGAAACTTCAAGATCCAGTTATTTTTTAAGTGGCTTAAAATAATTTAAATTCTTTTCCTAGATACTGTATCAACCATTTTTAATGTAAAAATTCAGAGTTGAAGTTCTGTTTGACTACCACCCAAATCAACCTCTACCGCCATCCCAATTATCAGTTGAATCTCTTGCTCTCACCTTCACTCTTGCTCTCACCTTCACTCTTGCTCTCTCGCTCTGATTTTGAAACAAATAGTGTCATTCTATTTATATATATTATTCTGATCTTGAAACATAAATAGTGTCATTCTATTTATATCTATTATTCTTCAGTTTCCTTTTTTTATGAAACAATACATCTAGAAGATCTTGTCTTATTACCACAAATAGAATGCCTTCATTCTTAACTTCATGCTATACAATCCTATACTGTGGATCTTCCACAGTTTAATCACTCCCTTATTAATAAATATTTATGTTTTTCTAATTTTTCACTATTGCAAGGTTGTAATGGAAATTCTTGCAATAAAAATAATAAAAGCTGGTCGGGCATGGTGGCTCACGCCTGTAATCCCAGAACTTTGGGAGGCCGAGGCAGGTGGATCACCTGAGGTCAGAAGTTCAAGAGCAGCCTGGCCAACATGGTGAAACCCTGTCTCTACTAAAAATACAAAAATTAGCTGAGTGTGGTGAAGGGCGCCTGTAATCCCAGCTACTGGGGAGGTTGAGGCAGGAGAATCACTTCAACCCGCAAGGTGGTGGAGGTTGCAGTGAACCGAGATTGTACCACTGCATTCCAGCCTAGGCGACAGAGTGAGACTCTGTCTCAAAAAAAATAAAAATAAAGCTAACATTTAGTGAGGAACTGTTACATGGCAAGCACTTTTAAAAAGAATATAATCACAAAGGAAGATTTTTTAAATCTTTCTAAAACTTCTCAAGTAAATTTAAAAATCAAAATAAGACTTCTACGCAAAGACAAACTGCAAAACCTGGCTCAATATATACAATGTCTGACTAGACCATTAAAATAAATATTTGAGGAGGGAAAACTTAGACTAATAATATAAAATAAGCCAAAAAATTATCTCTAATGAAAGTCTCGAAGCCGACAAGCATATGAAAACATATTCAACATTATTATTCATCAGGGAAATACAAATTAAAATCGTAAGATACTACTACATACCCATCAGAATAGCTAGAAACAAAAGATTGATAGTATCAAATGTTAGCAAGGATGTGGAGAAATTAACACCCTCATATATTGCTAGTAAGAATGTAAAAGAATAAAACTGTTCTGCAAACTATTTGCAGTGCCCAAAGTTTTAATATTTACCCAGCCTACAGCCCAGAAATTTTGCTCCTGAAGTACCCAAAATAAATGAAAACAAAAGATGTGTATTAGAATTCTCACAGAGGCTTCAGTCATAGTAGCTAAAACTGAAAAACCCAAATGTTCATCAGCAGAAAGAATAAGTACGGTGGCATAATCATTTCAATGGTGTACTATGTAGCAGTGAAAAAGATTGAACTCTGATGATTCACACGACATAGATAAATCTTTAAAACATTATGATGAGTAAAAGAATCCAGAAAAAAAAATATTGTATGATTCCATCTATTCAAAGTTCATGAGCTGGCAAATTTCTCTCTGGCAGTAGAAACCAGAGTAGTCATTACCTCTGGATGTGGGTGGGGACTCACGAGGAGGGGGCACAAGGAAAATTTCTGAAGTGACATAAATCCTCTGTATCTTGATCTGTACAGTGGTCACACGGGTGTCAAATTCAGCAAGCTGTACACTTAAGATTCGTGCACTATATTTAAATTATATTACAGTAAAAAAATCCTTGGGTGAGGAAGCTTTCTGGGTTTTTCAAAATTTCAAGGACCAAATACTCCCCTTTTCAGACGCTCAAGGAATAATCCCCAGGCTCTATATAATTCATTCCAGAACCAAAAATTAAGTAAAATTAAAATAGCTAATTTACTAAAGAAGAAAAATACAAGACACGAATACAATTATAGACCAGTTCTATCTGTGAAAATTGATATCAAAATGATGTCTAAAGCACAAATAATCCCATCTTTTCATATTTGAAATCACACTAATATGTTCAATTTAAACATTTAGGATTACCTCATCAGAGGCAAAAAGGCTTCTTAAAAAATCAATACCAGTTCCTGATCAAAGCTCAGAATAAAATAAAAAGCTACATCTTTAACAAAATGTGTTAGAGTCAGCCAAGGCTGTATCTTATCCTCTCTCTGGATGAGAACATTCTTTAATTCTCTAAATGGCAATAAAATGGAAATTATAGGACCCCTAGGTAATCCTATTAAAAGATTTTGCTCTCCCTTTATTCTTTATCAACTATAATACCAGGTATAATGTACACTGCTCCCAGCGAGGATTCTTCAATGCTTCAAACAGCTTCAGTGCCTCTGAACTCAGCAGTGGATTGCTTGCCCTGGACCTACCATCTAAGTCTCTGCTAGCAGCACTGAATGACTCGTACATAACAACGACATTGTAGTTACATACGAGAATGTTCTTTTGAGGAGATTCAGAACTCTAAATTATATAGTGATGAAGTGTCTTGATGTCTGAACATTATCTCAAGAGGCTCAGCCATTAAAAAAGAATAAAAAAGAAAGAAATAGGGTTGGGGAGAGTATAAATAAGAAAGAGAGGGAGGGAGGGAGGAACAGAGAGAAATTGACATATGCTACAAAAATGAGCAAATGGAATGTGGCCTGATTTGAGAAATTTATGGAGTGTGAGAAAGGGAAACTAATTTGACATTAAGCTTGTAACCTTTGCTCTGACTATCACAGGTTTAATAATGTAGGATTTTTTTTTAAATCTATGAGTTCAATCATACATCTTGCTTCTGAAGTGGTAATATTTACATAATTATAATATTATAAATTTTGTTTTCCATTTTTATTTTTAAAAACAAATCTCTCATTTCGTGTATATTGATTGTGGCATATAAACTTCAAACTTGCTACAAAATTCTTGGTCTTACTAAAGTGCAGAATAAGGAAAAAAAGAAACGATGATGTTCCAGATATAATAGCAGAAAACTGTTTAGAAATGCAAGTGCAGACTTGAAAATCAAAAGGAAACTTTTGTGCTATAAAAAATTATAATAAAAGTCAGCAAATACAAAAATATAGACTGATGAAAAAATAATCCTACATGCATCAGTGGGGGGAAAGATGACCATATAAGAAGTAGAGAAAAGAGAGAATATCAGCCTTACTTCAGATTTTTTCACAGCTATTTCAGAAAATGAGTTATAGATGAGAGAACAGATGTCCACAAATTTTATACCTAGCTAAGTCATCCTTCAGATATATAAATACATATGCAAAAGAAAAATCTAAAATATGTGAAAATTCAATAAATATAACATGGATGTACTAGTCCTTTAAAAATGACTTGATGCAATGCAACCAACCAAGGAATTAGTCAAAATTAAAAACTCGAGAATTTAAAAGTCATAATATTAAAAGGATGGTATGTAAAAATTTATTTAACAATAATAAAGAAAAATATGTGTTATGGTAATAAATGCAGATAGCATGCTTTATCTTTTAATAACAAAGTTGAATTTAAGGCAAACAGCATTACAGAGACCAAAATTCACTGCTATAATAAAGGAAATAAAAAGATTGTTTTAGGGTAAGGCCAGGTTGGAAAAGACAATATAGGTATAAAAAATATATCAGGAAAAAATGATATGACAGAGATAGAATGATTTTAACATTTTAGTAAGAATAAGTTAAGAAGGAAACATATGGATCAATAGAACAGAATAGAATCCAGAAACAGAACCAACCATCTTGAGTTAATTTTTGTATATGGTGTAAGGAAGGGGTCCAGTTTTAATCTTCCACATTTGGCTAGCCAGTTATCCCAGCACCATTTATTGAATATGGAATTCTTTCACCATTGCTTGTTTTTGACAGCTTTGTTGAAGATCAGATAGTTATAGGTATGCAATCTTATTTCTGGGTTCTGTATTCTCTTCTATTGGTCTATGTGTCTGTTTTTGTACCAGTACCACGCTGTTTTGGTTACTGTACCCCTGCTGTATAGTTTGAAGTGATGCCTCCAGCTTTGCTCTTTTTGCTTTAGATTGCCTTGACTATTTGGGCTCTTTTTTGGCTCCATATGAATTTTAAAATCGTTTTCTCTAGTTCTGTGAAGAATGTCAATGTTTAGTTTAGTTTATAGGAATAACACTGAATCTATAAATTGCTTTGGGCAATATAGCCATTTTAATAATATTTATTCTTCCTATCCATGAACATGGAAGGTTTTTCCGCTCATTTGTGTCATCTCTGATTTCTCTGAGCAGTGGTTTGTAGTTCTCCTTGTAAAGACCATTCACCTCCCTAGTTAGCTGTATTCACAGATATTTTATTCTTTTTGTGGCAGTTGTGAATGGGAGTGGATTCCTGACTTGGCTCTCTGCTTGACTGTTGTTGGTGTATAGGAGAACACCTGGACACAGAGGGGAGCAACACACACTGGGGACTATTGGAAGGTAGAGAATGGGAGGAGGGAGAGGATCAGGAAAAATAACTAGGGTTATTTTTCTACAAGTTACCCAGATAATTAAATAGTGAAAAGGATAGCATTTTTCAACAATTCATGGTCTAAAACTGGATACATCCCCAAAACTATCAAAAGTGAAAGAATGAACAAATCACGGTGTCTTTATACAATGGAATACTACTCAGTAATAAAAAAGTCACTGATCTACACAATTACATATGGGTACTAGGCTTAATATCTTGGAGATGAAATAATCTGTACAACAAACCCCCATGATACAAGTTTACCTGTGTAACAAACCTGCACATGTACCCCTGAACTTAAAAGTTAAAAAAAATAGATCCAACTATATATGGTCAACTGACTTTCTACAAGTTACCCAGATAATTAAATAGGGAAAATGATAGCATTTTTCAACAATTCATGGTCTAAAACTGGATACATCCCCAAAACTATCAAAAGTGAAAGAATGAACAAATCACGGTGTCTTTATACAATGGAATACTACTCAGTAATAAAAAAGTCACTGATCTACACAATTACATGATGAAATCTACAAAACATTATGCAGAGCTGAAGTAGCCAGATACAAAGAGTACATACTAAATGATTCCACTTATGTGAAGTTCAAAGCAGGCAAATCTCATTTGCAGTGATATAAATCAGATAGATAAAAATCAGATTAGTGGCAGGAAGAGCTTAATTGCAAGGGTACACATTGAATTATGAAGTGATGGAGTTATTCTAGATTTGGATTGGGGTAGAGGTTACATGACATAAAAGTCCCCTATTCCCACATCATTGCTATTACCATAGAAGGTCAATCATTTCTAAATTTTCCAAGTATGTGGTCATTCAATAATCCCTTATTGTTTTTCAACGGTTTTTTTGTTTGTTTGTTTTGTTTTGTTGTGCTTTGCTTTGTTTTGTTTTTGTTTTTGAGACACAGTCTCACTGCAATGCCCAGGCTGGAGTGCAGTGGCACTATCTCAGCTCACTGCAACCTCCGCCTCCTGGGTTCAAGCAATTTTCTTGCCTCAGCCTTTTGAGTAGCTGGGATTATAGGTGCGTGCCACCACGCCCAGCTAATTTTTGTATTTTTAGTAGAGACAGGGTTTCACTGTATTGACCAGGCTCATCTTGAACTCCTGACCACGAGTGATCCGCCCATCTCAGCCTCCCAAAGTGCTGGGATTACAGGTGTGAATCACCGCACCCAGCCTTTTTCAAGTTTTTTTCCTGGTTAACACTAAAGCTGAACGTCTTCTTATATTGTTTATTCTTTATGAATTTTCTGTTAATATTCTTTGTACATTTTTATTCAGTTGTGTTTTATTTTTATTAGATTATAGGAGCTCTTTGTATATTTTAAATTTCAATCTCGTGTTTATTAGACATGTTATAGCCTGTTACTTCTTTTTCAAATTTCTGTTATCTTTTGTCCCAGAAAACTTTCCTATTTCTATCTGGTCAAATATGTCAACATTTTTATACAGCTTCTGAGTTTTGCATAAATTATAAATATTATTTTATATTAGAGTATTTTTATAGATTGTAATTTAAGTTTAGCTTTTTAAGGCACCTAAAATATAATTTACTTGTACTGTAAAAATTTCATTTACTATTTTCCCATGTCAATTCCCCGGTAGTATATCCCTTCTCCCATTGATTTTCTTAATCACAAAATAAATCCTCTGAGTTTTGCATAAATTATAAATATTTTTTATATTAGAGTATTTTTGTAGATTGTAGTTTAAGTTTAGCTTTTTAAGCCATCTAAAATATAATTTACTTGTACTGTAAAAATTTCATTTAATATTTTCCCATGTCAATTTCCCTGGTAGTGTATCTCTTCTCCCATTGATTTTCTTAATTACAAAATAAATCCTCACATACACAGGACTATTTTTAATGTTCTTTTCACTCAATTGATCTTTTTTGTCAATTCCTGAATAAATACATACTGTTTTAATTATTGGGTTTTTTCAAATATGTATTGATACTTGGTAGAAAAAGAACGAATTTATGGTTCCTATTTTTCAAATATTTCTTATAAATTTTACCTTTTTGTCTTTCAAGAGAACTTGAGAATAAACTTGTCCATCTCCACAAAAATAATTCCACTGGGAATTTTATTTGGATTGCATTGAATGTATTTGAGTAGAGTTGCTTTTGTGAAAGTACTGAGGTTTCAAAACATATTAAGTGGTACAGTTTTAATTAGACTGATTTTATTGCATAAAAATTAATCTTTAAAAAACTGTTAAAATTGAGGTACCCTTTCCAGAGTCATTATATATGTTCATTTCTTGTAGTATCTTTTATACCTTTTATTAAATTTTTAAAGGTTTCTTCCTTAGTTCTTGTACTTACCTTTACTTGCTATTAAGAATTAAATCCATTTTTTATTGATTTTTAAATTGGGTTTTTCTGGCATAAAGGAAAGTGATTTAAAGATCAATCTTTTTTCCTGCCTCTAATACCTCTGATGTATTATGCACTGAGAAACTGGTGTTACCCTAATGACCATATGGAGATTAATAAAGTATTTCAGGAAATATTAAATGAAAAAGGTGAAATTCAAAATGGTATATATACACATATAGAAGTGGTTGGTCAGGTAACTGGATGGGAGGAGACATCATAAATACCAATATGGGATCAATGACAAAGAAGAGACTTGGATGGAACATGAAAAGTTTAATGCTGTGCGTGTTGAAACTGAACTGCCCATAGAGTCTCAAGAAGAGGTATCTATTAGGCAGATAAGAAGAACAGTTGGAAGTTCTGGAGAAAGGCTGGGCTTCAGATAGAGCTGTGGAGGTCGGCAGAACATACAGAAGGATGAAAGTGATGGGCTTGGATCACATCACTTAGAGGGCACAACTAAGAATACAAACTGAGTGGGGCGCAGTGGCTCACGCCTGTAATCCCAGCACTTTGGGAGGCCGAGGTGGGCAGATCACTTGAGGTCAGGAGTTCGAGACCACCCTGGTCAACATGGTGAAACTCCATCTCTACTAAAAATATATAAATTAGCTGGGCGTGGAGAGGTGGGGCAGGAGTGGGGGGTGCCTGTGGTCCCAGCTACTCGGGAAGCTGAGGTGGGAGAATCGCGTGAGCCCAAGAGGTGGGAGAATCATGTGAGCCCAGGAGGCGGAGGTTGCAGTTACCCGAGATGATGCCATTGCACTCCAGCCTGGGCAACAGAGCGAGACTTATTTAAAAAAAAAATAAATAAATAATAATAATAATAATAATAATAATAAAGAATACAAATTGACCAATGTTGGAAACTTACGCCACAAGTGGAGTTAAGAGTTTTAAAAAGATCTATATTCCTTTGGGCATATACCCAATAATGGGATTGCTGGGTCAAATGGTATTTCTGGTTCTAGATCCTTGAGGAATCGCCACACTGTCTTCCACAATGGTTGAACTAATTCACACTCCTATGAATGGCTGCTCCCTTTCTTTCTAAAGTGAGAGAAAATGAGAATAAACTGCAGAATCAGATAGTCTGGAATTTTATAAAAGCTCAACAATTGACACACTGTGTGATGTAGAAAGTTGCTGAGCTACGTACTTTTCAGCATGTAACACAGTGTTAGCATCTTCTCTACTTCCTGGGATCTGTCATGAGGGTAAAATACAAATAGAAATATGAAGTTATTTTGTAACATCCAAAATACCAAACAGAAGAGAGACATTCTTTTTATTTATTTTATTTTATTTATTTATTTTTGAGAAGGAGTCTTGCTCTGTCACCCAGGCTCGAGTGCAGTGGCGCAATCTGGGCTCACTGCAAGCTCCGCCTCCCAGGTTCACGCCATTCTCCTGCCTCAGCCTCCCGAGTAGCTGGGATACAGGTGCCCGCCACCACGCCCGGCTATTTTTTTGTATTTTTAGTAGAGACAGGGTTTTACCGTGTTAGCCAGGATGGTCTTGATCTCCTGACCTTGTGATCCACCTGCCTCAGCCTCCCAAAGTGCTGGGATTACAGGTGTGAGCCATCACGCCTGGCCAGAAGATAGACATTCCTTAAAACTGAGCTTTTTTAAATTTACCAGCAACTAGCTTCTTTCCTGGTGAAATAAATTTTAGGGCCTCAGGGTATTAGTTAATTCCAGGTAAAGACGAAATACACCGTTGTAGTAAAAGTGTTAGAAAAATGTATTGAAGGTCAGACCAGGTGAGAAAAGTCTATGGAGATGTGAAAATAAATCAGGAGGAGGGAGAAGAGGTAAAATGGTGTGAAAATTTGTGCAGGGAGAATATGTAGGAGACACTCAAAGGGCGGCTGGGAGGTTAAGCTGTTTAGATCTTATTTAGCACTAACCTAAGATTATAGAGCACTATTTAGAAATGATTCTATCCATGCACTTTGGAAGGCCTAGGTGAGCGGATCACAAGGTCAGGAGTTCAAGACCTGCCTGGCCAACATGGTGAAACCCCATCTCTAAAAATATAAAAATTAGCCCGACGTGGTGGCATTTGCCTGTAATCCCAGCTACTCGGGAGGCTGAGGCAGGAGAATTGCTTGAACCCAGGAGGCGGGGGTTGCAGTGAGCCAAGATCATGCCATTGCACTCCAGCCTGGGTGACAGAGCAAGACTCAGTCTCATAAATAAATAAATAAATAAATAAAAATAAAATGATTCCACAAGCCAGGCATGGTGCCTCACACCTGTAATCCCAGCACTTTGAAAGTCCAAGGTGGGAGGATCACTTGAGGCCAGGAATTCAAGACCAGCCTGAGAAACTTAGGGAGACCTCATCTCTACAAAAAAATCTTAAAATTAGCTGGGCGTAGTGGTGCATGCCTGTAGTCCTAGCTACTTGGGAGGCTGAGGCAGGAGAATCCCTTGAGTCCAGAAGGTTGAGGTTACAGTGAGCCACGATTGTGCCACTGCACTCCAGCCTGGGCAACAGAGTGAGACCCTGTGCGAAATAGAAAATAAAAATAAACAAAAAATTTAAAAATTTTTTTAATTAAACAAAAATGATTCTACAATCAAAGCAAAATTCTGAGTAACATAACAAAATCCTGTGATAATTTAAGAATGTGGGGCATGAAGACCATTTAAAACAGTTGTTCTTAAACTACATTTTTCCAAGATCACCTTGGGAAGACAAACAGGAAGTCTTAGCCAGGTCACCAAGACCCTCTTCCCTAGTTCAACTACTCAGCTATGCTTCATCTCCACTACATATTGAAAAATTATGTACGATGCCATTTCAACAAAAGGATGGTGAGGAAATAATTTAGAATAATATTCCAATATTAATATCAATATTTTACTGGATAAACTATGTAATAGCTCCAAGTGTTATCATCAGAGAGAGAAGAAAGTTTTCTTCTGATGAATGACTCTGCTCAGGGCTCCCTTCATGTCTCTGTTCCTCAGGCTGTAGATGAAGGGGTTCAGCATGGGGGTCACCACAGTGTACATCATAGCCATGACAGTGTCCTTTAGAGTAGAACTATTAGCTGATGAGCATAAGTAGAGACCAATAACGGTTCCATAGAACAGTGACACCACAGACAGGTGGGAGCCACAAGTAGAGAAGGCCTTGCAGATACCCTTAGAAGAAGGGACCTTGAGGATGGAGGAGACAATTCTTGCATAGGACCCAAGGATGAGTAGGAATGGGATGACAAGAATGAGCCCTCCCATGATAAATATCACCCATTCATTAACTCGAGTGTCAGAGAAGGCCAGCTTCAGCAGAGCAGACATATCACAGAAAAAGTGGGGGATCACATTGTCTGCACAAAAACACAACCTGGCCATGAGTAAAGTGTGTAACATGGCATGGAAGGTGGTCAGCACCCAGGACAGCGCCACCAGGGCGAGACAGAGCATGGGGCTCATGATGGCGGTGTAGTGCAGGGGGAAGCAGATGGCCACATAGCGGTCATAGGCCATGGCCACAAGGAGGAAGCTCTCCAGGTCTCCAAATAACAGGAAGAAGTACATTTGGGTCAGGCAGTCCGCATAGGGGATGGATGGGTCCTGGTTCTGCATGTTCTGTAACAACTTGGGAATGGTCACGGAAGAGAAGCAGAGGTCAGAGAAGGACAAGTTGCTGAGAAACAAATACATAGGCGTGTGGAGATGGGAGTCCAGTCGAATGAGGACAATGATGAGGAGGTTCCCCAGGAGGGTGGTAAGATACATGGCCAAGAACAGGGCATAGCACAGGTTTTGCTGCTCTGGTTGGATGGGCAGGCCCAGGAGCAGGAAGTCTGAGATGCTGGTTTGATTTTGTCCCATCATGCTCTGTCTCCAGTATCTTTAATGGAAAAACAACAGTATCCTTTAAAATCTGAATTTTAAAATGGAGATATTTCTGTGACACTTGGTCTGCTGAGTGTTCTGCGAAAATTATTTAACTGACATTATAATAATCATCTCTATACCACAAATATCTATAATTAGAATCTCTATAATCAGAAATGACTTAACTTTATCTTTTTTCTCTTCATTTATCTTTAACATGTAACAATATTCCATCCTTTCTAAAATACTCATCTATTTACTTCTGAAACATAAAGTGTGTTGGTTTCTCTCTTACCTGCCTCACCAGTAACTGCAGTTGGCTCCTCCTCTGTCAGTATCTTACATGTTGATATTCCTCAGGGATTTTTCTAAACTTCATTTTTTTTTTATAATTCTGCATAATGGCCAATAAAAACACATCTACTCCAATGGCTTTAATTGCCATTTAAAACTCAGGTGTAGGCTGGGCGCAGTAGCTCACACCTGTAATTCCAACATTTTGGGAGGCTGAGGTGGGTGGATCACCTGAGGCTAGGAGTTTGAGACCGGCCTGGCCAACATGGTGAAACCTTGTCTCTACTAAAAATACAAAAATTAGCCTGGTGTGGTGGCGGGTGCCTGTAATTCAGCTACTCAGGAGGCTGAGGCAGGAGAATTGCTTGAACCTGGGAGGCAGAGGCTGCAGTGAGCCAAGTTTGTGCCATTGTACTCCAACCTGGGTGACAGAGTAAGACTCTGTCAAAGAAAGAAAAGAAAGAAAGAAAGAAAGAAAGAAAGAAAGAAAGAAAGAAAGAAAGAAGGAAGGAAGGAAGGAAGGAAGGAAGGAAGGAAGGAAGGAAGGAAGGAAGGAAAGGAAAGGAAGAAAGAAAGAAAGAAAGAGAAAGAAAGAAAGAAAGAAAGAAAGAAAGAAAGAAAGAAAGAAAGAGAAAGAAAGAAAGAAACAAACAAACAACTCAGGTGTTCAGGTGTAGCGTTCTCTAGTATACAGAACTTAGTATCCTGAGTCTCAATGATTAACATCTCTTGGATGGATCACAGGCATCTTTGGCTTGACAGATCCTAAATGACATTCTGATCTCACCCTGCTCCTCTTCTAACTCCATCCTCCTCCACTCTCTCATGTTTGGTGAATGGAATCCAGGCTCAAGTCAGAAACCTAAGGTTTGATTTCATTAATTCATTTCTCTCACAGTCAATATCCAATCTAGCAAGTCCTACAGATTCTGCACTTCATTCTCTTTCTAATTCATCCACTCCTTATCCCAACTACCACAACCCTAAACCAGGTGGAAATCTTGTATTACCTGGACTATTGAAACTGCTTCTCAATTCATCTTCCTGCCCCTGTGTTTCAACAACCTTCTCTTCCAACAATCTTCATTTACACT
Organism: Homo sapiens; assembly: GCF_000001405.40. Taxonomy (NCBI): domain Eukaryota; kingdom Metazoa; phylum Chordata; class Mammalia; order Primates; family Hominidae; genus Homo; species Homo sapiens. Next base: position 3,399,802 of record NC_000017.11, read on the forward strand.
GTGGCATTCTGAGATGAAAATCTGATCATCCCTCTCTTGTGATTAAATATTTCGTGGATTATCATTGTTCTTAAGATAGAGGCAAAATTCCTTTCAAGAGCACAAAGGATGTTTCATTACCTGACCAACACCTGCCTCCACAGCCTCACCTGGCCCCACAATGACTCTTGCATCCTCTTTTCAGCAATGCTGGACTTATACGTCATAATTTCTTGCCTCCAGCCTTTCATACTTGCTATTCCTCCTACCTAGCACCTATCCCCGCTATGCCCTGTCTTCATCCGGCTCATTCTCACTTATCCTTCAGGTCTATTACATGTAACTTGCTCAGCTAAACCTTCCCTGTGTCTCTGTAAACCAAGTGAGACCTGCTTCTATGCTTCCGCAGCATCTCATACTCATCCAATAGCACTCCATGCTTTGACTACCTGTTGACAGCTGACTTCCTTACCAGACTGTAAACTCTGTGCCTGAAAGGCCATGTCTGCCTTCATAACTGCAGCAAGACAGTTGCGGCACTTGGCGTGGTGCCCAGATATTGCTGATGTTTTCTAAATAGCTGTTGGCTGTCTCTCAGGCTGGAACGTGCATTCCTCCAACTTAAAAGGTAGCAAATGGCCAGTAAGTTAGAATAACTACTTCTACTAAATCCTCCTGGAATAAGAACTCATTACCTTTAGCAATTTAACACTACATTTTGACACTCTGTTGCTGATTTCACCAATGTAATTTTGTGCCCGTGGAAAATATTAGGGTATCTCAGATATACTACTCTTTTCACAAATACAAATGACCCAAACCAAACATTCTTATGCTCAAATCTACATCATGTCATTGAAATTGGTGTGAGAAAAACAAATATGATAATAATTTTATAAATGTTGGGACAAACAGAAAGAAGAAGGATAATTTCCAACCTCAAGCCCTCATTTGAGTTCATCCTCAGATATTCATATCCCATGTGATGGTTAATTTTTATTTTTTTTATTTTTAAGTTCTGGGATACATGTGCAGAATGTGCAGATTTGTTACATAGGTATACATGTGCCATGGTGGTTTGCTGCACCCATCAACCCGACATCTAGGTTTTAAGCCCCACACAGATTAGGTATTTGTCCTAATGCTCTCCCTCCCTTTGCCCCCAACCCCCCAACAGGCCCGGCTGTGTGTTGTTCCCCTCCCTGTGTCCACGTGTTCTCATTGCTCAACTCCCACTTATGAGTGAGAACATGAGGTGTTTGGTTTTCTGTTCCTGTGTTAGTTTGCTGAGAATGATGGTTTCCAGCTTCATCCATGTCCCTGCAAAGGACATGAACTCATTCTTTTTTATGGCTGCATAGTATTCCATGGTGTATATGTGCCACATTTTCTTTATCCAGTCTATCACTTGGCTAGGCCCTGGTACCAAGTTTTGGTCAAATGCCAGTTCTAGATGTTGTGGTAAAGGTATTTTGTAATATGATTTACGCTTAAATCAGTAGACTTTGAGTAAAGCAGACTCCCCCTATTATGTGATAAGCCTCATAGAATTAGTTGAAGGCCTTAAGAGAAAAGACCACAGTCTCCTGAAGAAGAAAGAATTATGCCTTCAGACTGCTCAGACTCAAGACTGTAACATCAACTCTTTCCCTGGGTCTCCAGACTGCTTACCTACCCTGTGGATTTCAGACTTACCCATGCTCACAATCTTGTGAGCCAATTTCTTAAAAGAATCTCTCTCTCTCTCTGCCTTGATAGATATAGATAGGTAGATAGATAGATAGATAGATAGATAGATAGATAGATAGATAGATAGATAATGATAGATGATAGAGATAGGTAGATGACGATAGGTGACAGATGATAGATAGATAGATAGATAGATGATAGATAGATAGATAGATAATAGATAGATACAGGTAGAGAGATAGATTAGAGATAGATAGATATAGATAGATGATGATAGATGACAGATAGATGATAGACAATAGATAGATGATAGATAGCTAGAGGTAGAGAGATAGATTAGAGACGATAAATAGATATTTAGTTAATAGATAGATAGACAGACAGACAGACTATGCTTATGGTTCTGACTTCTGGAGAACCATAAAATTGTCTGTAAAGCTTCACAGATAATTTTAAAACAAAACAAGGCTTGAGAATGACTGCATTAAAGCATACCTCACAGAGCTGTCATTATACCAAAATGATAGGATCTTGTGAGGATATATTGCACAATAAGAAATATTTGTAAGTGCTATCATTACCAATGACTGTAACTGGAAAACATTAGTTAAAATACTTCTGGAATGTTGGAAAGTCGTGGGAGGCAAATACATAGAAAAGAGGAAAGTTATTATGACTGAAAAAATATCCTGCAGAACATCCTACACCTGGGAAATCAAGACCCTCAGGCTGGAAGGACACCAAGAATCAGCTCATTCACCCTTCTGCCCAACTCACCCAGCATCTCAAGGTAACTCCACAGTCCTGACCTGACATCCTGCTCCATTTTATCCATTACGACACGTAAAGTAACAGTCTCTGTAGTTGTCCCCTGTGTCTGGACAACTCCTTCTCACATCTCCCCTTCTACCCATCCCTGAGCCTCAGGGACCCTGCATCCCAGAGGAATCCAGATTCCAGAGTAACTCATTAAAGACACAGTAATTACCCTGGACCTCTCTAGAATAAATTTGCTCAGACTCCTACAGCAGTAACTAATTACCGTACATGTCATCTGTCACTGTAATCAGTCACTGATCGCACCTGACTGTATTTAGGGCTATCATGAGGACGGAGCTCATGGATGGATGCTTAATCACTGCCTGCTTAGGAAATGGAGAGTAGCCCTGTGTGGCTGCAGCCTACATTTTGGGACTTGAAAAAGAATGGCCATAAAAGACTGTGAATGGCCTCAAATATCTTAGACGTATAACATTTACACAATAAATTGACACAAAAAGGTAATGGTCTTTAAGCAGAGTAACCACTATGAAAGACACATGCTTTGTAAAGATATCCAGGTGGTAGCGTCTCACTAAAACTCAGCTTCCCATAAAAATACCCCAGGATCAGACATCTGTGACTCAATCATAAGCAGATACATAGAAAAGAGATGAAAAGAAGAAAAAATGAGCTCTCTCAGGTCATGCTCAATTCTTCCTCAGGCCAAAACAGAAAAAGAAACCCAAATTCCCACCCGCTTAGTTACTTTTATCTCCTTCTCTCTCTAGGAAAACTTGATAGCACTCATCACTACCATTGTGCCAACCGCTCTCCACCTATGTCAGATTACCTCCTAATGCCATGTTCTTCCTGTCCCTACAATGGCTCACAAGGCCACAGTGGACATTTATATTTTTTTCTTCCACTACCCGTTCTACGTTCCCCTTTCTTTTGGCCATTATCAGCTGGGTGACATTCTCCACACAGTGGTAACAGTGCAAACTTTCATCCCTAGGAAATCTGCATCCCATAAGCCTTGCTTTCTCAAGTTGTTATATTTTTTCTTAAACTTTATTGATGCACATGGAAATACTAAGTGGCAACCAAATAATTCTCCAGGATTTTAGACATGGGCCTCTCTTTTCCAGTTGTGTAGAACAACCAAATTTTCCCCTGGTAATCAATATCAATCACACTAGGCAGAATGACAACCCTATTCTTTGTATATTGGCTTACATGAGTACCAAAAAATGACTGGGTGGTAGGCTTAACCTCCAATCCAGTGAAGCCACTGTTACATCACCTGGTAGAAGAACACATCCCTTGAGATCTATAGGAGACACTTATGACACACTATTTTAGGTTCTCTCAGCCTCATCTGGTATTTCAGCCACAGCTGAAGGAACCAGTTCTGCGATGGCTTCAGCTAGCTTTAGTGGGTGCAACTGAAAGCACCTCAGCTCCTTGCTGCTACATAACTTCCTTGCCTCCTTTTCTGGGACTTGTACGACCCCACAGATGTCGTGGTGAATCTTTAGCACTCACACACATATTAAGGCCTGTGATCCACTTTGAACTCGTTGTAGAGTGTTAAATGTTAAATTGAGGTTACATTTTATTTCTTCTGCATATGGAAACCCAATTTTTCCAGCGCCATTTGTGGAAGACTAGTCTTCACTGAATTGCTTCTGTACCTTTGTCAAAAATCAGTGAATGATCAGCACCAGCATGGCACATATATACATATGTAACTAACCTGCACAATGTGCACATGTACCCTAAAACTTAAAGTATAATAAAAATAAATAAATAAATAAATAAATAAATAAATAAATAAATAATCAGTGAATGATACATGAGTAGATCTATTTCTGGACTCTTTATAGTATTATATACCCTCAATACTCATCTACATTTCTATCCTTTGTCTAATACTACACTTACCTCATTATTGTAACTTAATAGTTAATTTGGAAACAAGACAATGTTAGTCCTTCTACATTGTTCTCCTCTTTCAAAACTGATTTTGGGTGTATTTGTCTTTACACATAAATTTTATAATCAGATTGTCAAATCATGCACAAAAATTTCTGTCAGAATTTTTATTAGAATTTTGTTAACTCTCCAGATCAGTTGCTGAAGAGTCAACATCTTAAGAGTGTTGAGTTTTCCAATCTGTAAAAATGTTGTATCTACCCATTTCTTTTTATTTGATTTTAAGTTCTGGGGTACGTGTACAGGATGCTCAGGTTTGTTACATAGGTAAATGTGGGCCATGGTGGTTTGCTGCACATATCAACCCATCTCCCAGTTATTAAGCCCAGCATGCATTAGCTATTTTTCCTGATGCTCTCCCTCCCCTGATCCCACCCCCTATAAGCCCCCGATGTGTGTTGTTCCCCTCCCTGTGTCCATGTGTTTTCATTGTTCAGCTACCACTTATAAGTGAGAATATGTGGTACTTGGTTTTCTGTTCCTGCATTAGTTTGCTGAGGATAATGGCTTCCAGCTCCATCCATGTCCCTGCAAATGACGTGATCTCATTTCTTTTTATGGCTGCATAGTATTCCATAGTATTCCATGGTGTATATTTACCACATTTCTTTATCCAGTCTATCATTGATGAGCATTTGGGTTGATTCCATGTCTTTGCTATTGTGAATAGTGATGCAATGAACATATACGCATTCATGTATCTTTATAATAGAATGATTTATATTCCTTTGGGTATATACTCAGTAATGGGATTGCTGGGTTAAATGGTATTTCTGTTTTTAGGTCTTTGAGGAATTGCCACACTGTCTTCCACAATGGTTGAACTAATTTCATTCCCACCAACAGTGTAAAAGCATTCCTTTCACTCCACAGCCTCCCCAGTATCTGTTGTTTCATGACTTTTTAATAATTGCCATTCTGACTGGCATGAGATGGTATCTCAATGTGGTTTTAATTTGCTTTCTCTAATGATCAGCGATGTTGAGCCTTTTTTCACGTTTGTTTACCGCATGTATGTCTTCTTTCAAGAAGTGTCTGTTCATGTCCTTTGCCCACTTTTTAATGGGTTTTTTTTCTTGTAAATTTGTTTAAGTTCCCTGTAGACGCTAGATATTAGACTTTTGTCAGAAGGAGAGATTGCAAAAGTTTTCTCCCATTCTATAGGTTGTCTGTTTGCTCTGATGATAGTTTCTTTTGCTGTGCAAAAGCTTTTTAGTTTAATTAGATCCCATTTGTCATTTTTTGCTTTTGTTGCCATTGCTTTTGATGTTTTCATCATGAAATCTTTGCCTGTGCCTATGTCCTAGATTTTCTTCTAGGGTTTTTATAGTTTTGGGTTTAAGCCATCTTGAGTTAGTTTTTGTATAAGGTGTAAGGAAGGGATCCAGTTTCAATTTTCCGAATATGGCTAGCCAGTTCTCCCAACACCATTTATTAAATAAGGAATCCTTTCCCCATTGCTTGTTTTTGCCAAGTTTTTTGAAAATCAGGTGGTTGTAGGTGTGCAGTCTTATTTCGGAGTTCTCTATTCTGTTCTATCGGTCTGTGTGTCTGTTTTTGTACCAGTACCATGCTGTTTTGGTTGTTGCAGGATTGTAGTATAGTTTGAAGTTGGGTATCTACCCATTTCTTAAGTGTTTGATTTCCATAACCAGTGTTGCAGGTTTCATGTCATAGATCTTACACATTTTTGTAAGACTTATACTTAAATATTTAATAATATTGTGCTATGTAAAGAGTACTTTAATTTTTTTCAACTTCCACATGTTCATTGCTATTTGATATAATTTTAATATATTAATATTATATATATATTTGTATACACAAATAAAACTTTTTAATATGTTGACCTTATACCCTATGGGTTTACTAAACTTGATTACTGGTTCTAGAACCCTTTTTTAGATAATTTTGTGGATTCTGTACAAACATGAATAGAGATGGTTTAATTTCTTACTTTCCAATATGTATACATTTTAGTTCTTTTTATTGCCCTTTCTCACTGCCTAGTACAATGTTTAAAAAGAGCAGTGAGTTCATTTTTGTATATGGTATAAGGAAGGGGTCCAGTTTCAATCTCCTGCATATGGCTCTCCAGTTATCCCAGCACAATTTATTGAATAGGGAATCCTTTCCCCATTGCTTGTTTTTGTGAGGTTTCTATCTGTCAAAGATCAGATAGTTCTTGGTGTGTGGTCTTATTTCTGGGTTCTTTATTCTGTTCCATTGGTGCCCGTGTGTCTGTTTTTGTACCAGTGCCATGCTGTTTTGGTTACTGTAGCCCTGTAGTATAGTTTGAATATAGTTTGAAGTCGGGTAGCGTGATGTCTTCGGCTTTGTTCTTTTTGCTTACGATTGCCTTGGCTATTCAGGCTGTCTTTCTGGCTCTGTATGAATTTTAAAGTAGTTTTCTCTAATGCTATGAAGAATGTCAATGGTAGTTTAATAGGAATAACACTGAATCTATAAATTGCTTTAGGCAGTATGGGCATTTTAATGATATTGATTCTTCCTATCCATGAGCATGGAATGTTTTTCCATTTGTGTTGTCTCTGATTTCTTTGAGGAGTGTATTGTAGTTATCCTTGTAGAGATCTTTCACCTCCCTAGTTAGCTGTATTCCTAGGTATATTGTTCTTTTTGTGGCAATTGTGAATGGGCGTGCATTCGTGATTTGGCTCTCAGCTTGACTATTGCTGGTGTATAGGAATGCTAATGATTTTTGCACATTAATTTTGTATCCTGAGACTTTACTGAAGTTGTCTTTCAGATTAAGATGCTTTTGGGCCAAGACTATGGAGTTTTCTAGATATAGGATTATGTAATCTGAAAACAGGAATGATTTAACTTATTCTATTCTTATTTGAATGCCCTTTGCTTCTTTCTCTTGCCTAATTGCCCTGGCCAGAACTTCCAATACTATGTTGAATAGGAGTGGTGAGAGACGGCATCCTTGTCTTCTGCCAGTTTTCAAAGGGAATGCTTCCCACTTTTGTCTATTCAGTATGATGGTGGCTATGGGTTTGTAATAGATGGCTCTTATTATTTTCAGGTATGTTCCTTCAATACCTAGTTTATTGAGAGTTTTTAACATGAAGGGATGTTAAATTTTTTTGAAAGCCTTTTCTGCATCTATTGAGATAATCATGTAGTTTTTGTCTTTAGTTCTGTGTATGTGATTAATTACATTTACTGATTTATGTATGTTGAGCCAAACTTGCATCCCGGGGATGAAGCATACTTGATCATGGTGGATAAGCTTTTTGATGTGCTGCCGGACTCAGTTTGCCAGAATTTTGTTGAGGATTTTTGCATCAATGTTCATCAAGGATATTGGCCTGAAATTTTCTTTTTCTGTTGTATCTCTGCCAAGTTTTGTTATCAGGATGATGTTAGCCTCATAGAACAAGTTAGGAAGGAGTCCCTCATCCTCAATTTTTTGGAACAGTTTCAGTAGGAATGGTACCAGTACCAGCTCTTCTTTGTACTTCTGGTCGAATTCAGCTATGAACCCATCAGGTCCAAGGGTTTTTTTGGCTGGTAGGCTATTTATTACTGACTCAATTTCAGAGCTCATTGTTGGTCTATTCAGGGCATCAATTTCTTCCTGTTTGTCTCAGGACAGTGTAGATGGCCAGGAATCTATCAATCTCTTCTAAGTTTTCTAGTTTGTTTGTACAGAGGTATTTGAAGAAATTTCTGATGGTTATTTTTATTTCTGTGGGGTCAGTGGTAATATTCCCTTTATCATTTCTAATTGTGTTTATTTGGATCTTCTCTCTTTTCTTCTTTATTAGGCTAGCTAGTGGCCTATCTTATTCATTTTTTTTTTAAATCAACTCCTCTATTTGTTGATCTTTTGAATGGTTTTTCGTGTCTCAATTTCCTTCAGTTCAACTCCGATTTTGGTAATTTCTTGTCTTCTCCCAGTTTTGGCGTTGATTCTTTCTTGCTTCTCTAATTCTTTCATTTGTGATGGTAGGTTGTTAATTTGAGATCTTTCTAACTTTCAGATGTCAGCATGTAGTGCTATGAATTTTCCTCTTAATACTGCCTTAGCTGTGGCCCAGAGATTCTGGTATGTTATATCTTCTTTTTGAGACTGAGTCTCACCCTATCGCCCAGCCTAGAGTGCAGTGGCATGATCTTGGCTCACTGCAATCTCTGCCTCCCGGGTTCAAGTGATTCTCCTGCCTCAGCCTCCTGAGTAGCTGGGATTACAGGTGCCCACCACCATGCCTGGCTACTTTTTTGAATTTTTAGTAGAGATGGGGTTTCATGTTGGCCAAGCTGGTCTCGAACTCCTGACCTCTAGTGATCCTCCCACCTCGGCCTCCCAAAGTGCTGGGATTTCAGGCATGAGCCACCACACTCAGTGTGTTGTATCTTTGTTCTCATTAGTTTCAAACAACTTCTTGATTTCTGCCTTGATTTCATTATTTATTCAACAGTTGTTCAGAATCATGTTGTTTAATTTCCATGGAGTTACATGGTTTTGAGTGATTGTCTGATCCTAACTATTTTGGAGGCACTGGGAGACATGGAAGTAGTTCTGGAGGACAACAAAAATCATCTTGTGAGACTTCTTCCTCACATAGGGTGTTTGCATGGTCTTCAGGCAAAAGGAGGTTGCTCATTTCTAGCAAGGGGAAGGGATACTTCTGCCCCAGCAAGTGAATTCCGGGGAGTCTGAGGATTCAAAATTCTCATGTTCATCCACTCAAACAAGACTCAAGGTCTCACTCTTTCCTTCCCAGGGTCTGTAATTTAGCATAGGAGACCTACCTAAGCTACATGTGCTGCCTCCTTAGTAGCTCTTGCACCCTTAGAATTAAGTCTCAGGCCTGATTTTCAACACCGTGTGTCAATGGTTGTAGAAGATTAACGTTTCATTAAATGTTGCCATGGATATTTTCTGGCTTTTACAAAATAAACCCTAAGTTGATAGTTGACTAACCTGGACCTATCATTCTATTTCTTCCAGGCTTCCAAGGAAGTTAACAAAAGCTATCCCTATTCTTAAAACTCCAGGCCAGGCACAGTGGCTCATGCCTGCAATCTCAGCATTTTGGGAGGCTGAGGCTGGAGGATTGCTTGAGCCCAGGAGTTCAAGACTAGTCTGAGCAACATAGCAAAATCCCATCTCTACAAAAAATAAAAATTAAAAAAAAGCTTCCAGCTTTTGCTCGTTCGGTATGATGGTGGGTATGGGTTTGTAATAGATTTTTTTTTTTAATTTTTTTTAACCAGGTGTGGTGACATGCACCAGCTCTTCAGGAGGCTTAGGTAGGAGGAGCGCTTGAGCCTGCAAGTGAGCTATGATTGCACCACTGCTCTCCAGCCTGGATAACAGAGTGAGACTCTGTCTCAAAAAAAATCCTAATTCTAATAACTACCATGGTTCTTATAACATTAACTTGCTGGAGCTAACACATGACACAGTGTTTCTCCGTCTACCTGTACCTCATCCCAAACTACCACAAGTGAGTCTTGGTAATTGTGATGCTATCACATGCTAGGGCTTATCACAAACCCCACTTACTCCAACAGTGGTGAATGCTCCAGTTCCAGAATCCCTCCCAAAACCAATTGTCTTAGTTTGGTTCCCACCAAAGAAGAGCCTGAGAGAAGATGTGTGTGTGTATGTGTATGTGTGTGTGTGTGGTTTAAGCAGGAAGTCATCTCAGGGAGCAAGAGTGAAGTTATTTATTTGGGAGCTAGTCCCCAAGAGCAAGACTGATTTATGAAGAGGGTGAGGCAGAGAAAGAAAAATTGTCCCTTACTAACAACATATTACGCAAGTCCCCACTATGAACACTAGAGATTGGATTGACCCAGAGCATACACAATGTCTCCCAGAATTGTGTAAAGATGGGGGCTGAGGGGACTTTTTTTTTGAGACGGAATTTCGCTCTTGTTCCCCAGGCTGGAGTGCAGTGGTGTGATCTTGGCTCACTGCAACCTCTGCCTCCTGGGTTCAAGCGATTCTCCTGCCTCAGCCTCCCAAGTAGCTGGGATTACAGCCATGTGCCACCACGCCTGGCTAATTTCGTATTTTTAGTAAAGAGGGGGTTTCTCCATGTTGGTCAGGCTGGTCTCGAACTCCCAACCTCGGGTGATCTGCCCGCCTCGGCCTCCCAAAGTGCTGGGATCATAGGCGTGAGCCACTGCGCCTGGCTCCTGGGATATTTATCCCCTGGCTCCATTCCCCATTGTCAAGTTGCCCTCTGCACTTCTGAGCTCCACATGTGCTGAGACAGAGTAAGCTCCCCCACTGTTTGTGGCATCAGAGGATCCCAGGGAAGAGGCTTCACTGTCAGCTTGCAATGGAAGCCTGCAAGGAACTATCCCCTGCAACCATGGCTGAAATCAGAAGACAAGCATCTTGTCTCCTTTGTTCTCCAGATGTGAAGCAGAACATCTGATCTGTCTGCTACAATCTACTTTGCAGAAGTGTTAGGAAGACTGATAGACCCTCCAGGCTTGTACGGTTCTTAGCAAATTACCATGTAAATAACAAACACTCACAAATGTTCTCAGTTTGTATGTAGATGAATTGTTGAACTTCTGTTAGCAGCTTAATGAATCCTACTTCGTTTAATGTTCAGACAGCAGTGCTCTGTAGGGGAGAATATGCTCATTTTACAGATGAGGAAACTGAGGCTCAAAAACTGACTTTGCAGCTTGTTCAGAGTCAAACCACTAATAATCAGAAGAACAGGTTTGTCTATTCTGCTTTTTCTACTGCACCACAACTCCCTGGTGGGAGAAGAAGGAGCCCTCTCTCTTAGGCGAGGGAATGTTAGTGGGAAGAGGAGTCAGAGGAACACACTTCTACACCTTCCCACAGCTTCTGTTCATTAACCTGCCACCTTCACCAGGCCTCTCAATTCCTCAGGGCCGGACTTAGAAAATCATGTTGATAGGCACCTTCCCAGTAGTCCTGCTAGCATCACAGGGCTCATCTCCCAGCACCTCCAGAATCATTATAGGATCCCCAAGACACAGTCCCAGTGGCCCCCACTAACAAGGCCCCAAGAGAGAAAGCGCCTCACTACTGAGGGCTCAACAGGAAACCAGCTTTGAAGAACACTTTCCCCTCTTATATCCCTTCTGGGGCCTCCTCCTCCTCCCTCCCCAGGTCCAAGACAAGTTCAGGAATTTGCTTGTCTCTGCTCAAATGCCCTGGTTGATATCTGAGAAAGAAGAGGCAGGCGGATCATGAGGTCAGGAGACTGAGACCATCCTGGCTAACATGGTAAAACCCCGTCTCTACTAAAAAAATACAAAAAATTAGCTGGGTGTGGAGGCAGATGCCTGTAGTCCCAGCTACTCGGGAGGCTGAGGCAGGAGAATGGTGTGAACCTGGGAGAATGGCGTGAACCTTGCAGTGAACCGAGATCGCACCACTGCACTCCAGCCTGGGCGACAGAGCGAGACTCCGTCTCAAAGAAAAAAGAAAAGAAAAGAAAATGTCTCCTTAGAAAGCCCATATAGAGTCTCCAGCTGCACCTCTCCCTTCCTGGGGGACTTTGAGGACATAGGCAAGTCCTGTAGGCCTCAGTGACCCACATTAAGCAGAGCCGACATCATCTGCCGTAACAACCTGCCCACAAAGCCAGGGCTAGAGGCAAAGCCTTCCTTGTGAGAAAGTCTAAATACCAGAAGGTGTGAGGCATCGTTGCCATGAGTATGAAGGGCCTGAGGTGTCTCCTTTTCCGTGTCTCTCCCCCCATCCTTCTCTCTCCTAGGAGAGCCAGTTTCTGAGTGCCCCAGAGGAGAATGCTGTAGTGAACACAGCCCTGTACAGAGAAGACAGCAGCTTGATTCCTCTCATTTCTCAGTCATTAGCCCCTCACTCGCTCTCCGGGAGGATAACGGGGTGTGTGCAGCTCCTCCCCTTCTTTCCTGAGGAAACCTCAGTGGCTTCCGTGCCCTTGCCAGGGTGAGTGTTCTCCTGAGTCCTTCCTCTGCTCCTACAGAATAGAGAAGGGGCTTCTGTTGCCATCAGCTTAGTAAGCCTGGTGCGATGGATGCCCCTGACAGGGAAAGCCATTTAGGGGAAGACCTGGCACTACAGCCCGGAGGTCCTGGGTTCTTTTGTGGTTTTCCCCGTGCTCGCCTCTCTCAGATGAAGCCTGCTGCCTGTTAGCATGAGTGTGAGGAGACTCGCTCAGACCAGTTCACTGCCCGCACCCACTGCATCAGGCAGCGGGGAACCCTCGCTCCAGCGAAGTCCTTGAGCCTCGTCATGTTGGGCGCGTGAGGGATGGGCTGGAGTTCCAGAGCAGGGAGCTGTCACAGCTCGTAAGGGGAGCCTCGAGAGTGGTCGTGCAGGAGGGCTCCCCAGTGGGCCTCGTGGGGACCCTGTCAGACCCTCTGGGTGTCTCAGGGTGACCTGAGGTCATCCCAGAATCCCCCTGGTTTTAAGCAATTGTATCTCTAGCTGTCTGAGGGTTGGCAACAGCTGTTTAGTGGTTCTTCTACCCCTGACCATGACTTACTTGTCTGTAAGGTGTGGCCCCTCCTAAGGGCCGTATTGTTTTGGGAGGTTTAAGTAAAAAGAAGCATGTGGACTGGTCCATGACCTGCTTGTCCTGTTAACACAAAGGAGTCCCTGCCACAACCTTGCACCCTGCATTTAACCTGTACCTCCCCTAAAGCACACTAAGCCAGGAAAGTCTAGCCCAAATATTAATGTGTCCGGAAAGTCTTCCATGACAACTCTAGCTTATACTGATGCTCTCTTTCTCTGAAATTGTACGAACGTTAGAACAATTGATAATTCGTTTCACAAATATTGAAGTATTATGATGGTTACTGCTATTGAAAAGACTGAATCAAACATGTTTTGTCCTCGAATTACTTACAGAGATGTAAGAAAGATATGTTCTATAGAGCAATGACTGAACTGGAAGGTAAAGCATAGTAAGTTGCATGAAATAATATGTGTGGGAGTTTAGGAGAGAAGCAGCAGGAGGGAGGCAAAGACAGGGAAAGAGAGAAACAGAGAGACAGGCAGGAGTGAGAGGGAGAGTGATCCTTTTGAGATGGGAAAGTTTCACGGAAAGATGAGTTCAGCAGCCAGCAACTGGCGTCAAGTCTTGAAATATTTGGGAAGTGGACTTGGAGGAAAACTATCGCAAAAATATCTTCTTCAAAAGAACATATGTACAGAGCTGTTACCTACCCACTGATTTGCCAATTTGCAAAGCATTTACAATTACCAATTTCATCAAGATAATCATACCAGAAGATGATTTCTTCCCACTCCCAAGTCATGTGATCTTAGAATTTTAAGGACCTGGATGGATGCGGTGGCTCACGCCTGTAATCCCAGCACTTTGGGAGGCCGAGGTGGGCGGATCATGAGGTCAGTTGTTCGAGACCAACCTGGTCAACATGGTGAAACCCTGTCTCTACTAAAAATACAAAAATTAGCCGGGCGTGGTGGCAGGCACCTGTAGTCCCAGCTGCTCGGGAGGCTGAGGCAGGAGAATCACTTGAACCTGGGAGGTGGAGGTTGCAGTGAGCCAAGATCATCAAAATCATGCCACTGCACTCCAGCCTGGTGATAGAGCAAGACTCCATCTCAAAAAAAAACAAAAAAACAAAAAACAAAAAAAAAAAACTTTAAGGACCTCTTAGAGATTACCGCATCCACATTCTCATCCATGTGGCATCCCCTCTGCAGCTTCCCCGTGGCCTGAGCACACACAGTGGAGACCTCATTTGGAAGGCTGGTCATCGAGACAGCCTCACATTGGAGACATCCTCTTGCTGTAGAGACTCCAGTGAGATGCACGTTATCCACATGAAACTGCGGGTCAGTCTTTAGAGACTACCTTGACTCTTTTTTTTGAGACAGAGTCTCAGACGGAGTCGCCCAGGCTGGAGTGCAGTGGCGCAATTTCAGCTCACTGCAACCTCCACCTCCCGGGTTCAAGCGATTCTCCTGCCTCAGCCACCCGAGTAGCTGGGACTACAGGTGCCCGCCACCGCACCGGACTAATTTTTTGTATTTTCAGTAGAGACGGGGTTTCACCATGTTAACCAGGATGGTCTCGATCTCCTGACCTCATGATCCGCCCACCTCGGCCTCCCACAGTGCTGGGATGACAGGCGTGAGCCACCATGGCCGGCCAGGATTTTTTTGAAGCTCCACATATTTCTACTGTGCAGCTGAGGTTGAGACTCACTGCAGTACATTTTCATAGAGCATCAGCGAGGAATGAATGCCCGGTGGATTTCCTAACATCTTTACAAAGAAAGAAAAACACGATGCAGGAAGGTAGTGTGAATTCTCCGAAACGATCTCAGGATTTTAAGAGTCACAAAACCCATCTGATAGTGCTTTGACAATTGGAGCAGCAATGCGATCAGAGACCACTGGACACATTCTTGGTAACTGGAGAAAAGACCCAAATCACCTCAGGATGTCAGAGAAAAGGCATTTACTGGCAAGCCAGGAGATAGCTCATCACCAGAAATGGAATTTGGTTGACAGGAAGTAAAATAGCCTGGGAGAGCTGCTGTCTACTCCCAGAACCCACCCAAGGCTCTTCTGTGGATAGCAACTACCGCAGCGTGCAAGGCAAGGGACTTTGAAATTTACAAGTCGTAGCCACTGAGAGGGTGGGAATAATTCGATCATTCATAAAAAGTATATTAATAATCATTAAAAAAATAATATAGGTAATATGTTAACATTTAAAATCTCCAATGAAAAACACTAAAACCCATTATATTACTACCACTCTTTGAAAACCACTGCAATAGCTCAGAGTTTCCTTCTGTTTATTATATGTGTATGTGGTAACAGTGAGATCATATTTTAAGTATACAGTTTTGTCTTTCCTTTTACTTACTGAATATCTTACCACAAGAATTTGCTTGATTTTAAAGTCATTTCTGTTAATGTGAATTTTTTACAATTATTTTTTCTAGTTTATTATGGTATATATAAGAAAACAACATATTATCGTATATTATTTTTATATTTACTTTTTATCTTGAAATTTTCCTATACTTTCATATTTTTAAGAGTTTTCCAGCTGGGCTCGGTGGCTCACACGTGTAATCCCAGCACTTTGGGAGGCCGAGGCGGGCGGATCACATGAGGTCAGGAGTTCGAGACCAGCCTGGTCAACATGGTGAAACCCTATCTCTACTAAAAATACAAAAATTAGCCAGACGTGGTGGCGGGTGCCTGTAGTCCCAGCTACTCGGGAGGATGAGGCAGGAGAATTGCTTGAACCTGGGAGGTGGAGGTTGCAGTGAGCCAAGATCATGCCACTGCACTCCAGCCTGGGTGACAAAAGCGAAACTCCAACTCAAAAAAAAAAAAAAGAAAAGAAAAACCAACAACTGTTTTATTGCTTTCTAATATATGGTCTTTTAATTTCTTGCATTGGCTAAAGCTTTCAGAACAATGTTAAATAATAATTGATAATGAATTTACTTGTCTCATTAGTGACTTGACTGAGAATGCTTTTAATGTTTTTCTATTAAACATGATGCTGTCTTTGGAGTTTAGTTCGTTTTATTTTATTTTTTATTTACTTATTTTTAAATTATTATTATTATTATTATTATTATTATTATTATTATTATTATTTGAGACCCAGGCTGGAGTGAAGGGGCACGATCTTGGCTCACTACAACCTCCACCTCCTAGGTTTAAGCAATTCTCATGTTTCAGCCGCATACCAAGTAGCTGGGATTACAGGCGAGCACCATCACGCCTGGCTAATTTTTGTATTTTTGATAGAGATGGGGTTTCACCATGCTGGCCAGGCTGTTGTCAAACTCTTGAGCTCAAGTGATCCACCTGCCTCAGCCTCCCAACGTGCTGGGATTACAGATGTGAGCCACTGCACCTGGCCTACTTAGTTTTATTTTAACATGTTAGGTAAGTACCTAACTATTCCTATTTTATTATAAGATTTCAGAAATCAAAATGAACATTTAATATAATCAAATGCCTTTTTAGCATCTATGGAAAGGATCACATAATCTCCCTTTACATCTGTTAATATCATAAAACATATTAATACATTTTCTCATTTTGAACTAACCTGGCATTCCTGACCAAATCCCAAATACTTATGGTTAATTATTTTGGTAAAATTACTGAAATAAATTTGTTAATCTTTTATGATTTCATATTTTCTTTACTTTAACATAAATTTTTTTCTTTTCTTTTGAGCTAGTTATGCACACTTCGCAAAAAAAAAATGGAAGCTTTCTTCTTTTATATTCTTGAATAGTTTGATCGTCATTACAAACTTCCCTGTGGCATTTTACGGAGATGTTGCTTTTCATTAGTGGCAATTGGAAGCTAGCTCTTTCTCTACTTTTTCTATAGTAGTCTGTTTAGATTTTCTAACTGTTCTAGAATTATTTTAATAAATCATAACTTCATAGAAAACTTTTATAACTTGGAGTTCAGAAAAATAGAATTTTATAATTTTTATTGAAATATAATAGTTGTATATATTTAGGGAGTACACTGTGATGTGTGTATATATATATAAAACAATGTGTAAGGATCAAATCAGGGTAATTTGGATATCCATCACCTCAAACATTTGTCTTTGTGTTGGGGACATTCCAATTCTTCTGGCTATTTTGAAATATACAATAAATTATTGTTAACTATAGTCTCCATACTCTATCAAATTCTAGAACTTGTTCCTTTTATTTAACTGTATTTTTGTACCCATTAACCAATTTATCTTTATCACTCCTTCCCCTCACCCTTCCCAGCCTCCAATCACCACCATTCTATTCTCTACTAGAATTTTTCAATTTTCTATTGGGCTATGTTTATTTTCTCCCTGTCAATTATTATTTTGCATGCTTATACTTTTTTGCTTTTACTCACGATTAGATCACTTAGTTAAGGTTTGTCAATTTCATTTTACCACAAACAACCTGTTCTCAATTTGTATTCATTCTTTTGTTTGTCTATTTTCTAATTTTTTACTATGGAATTCCTTTAGATTTTCTTAAATTTCTTTTGTTTTCTTATTCTAAATTCATGATTGGGTTAAGCCTTTTCATTTCAACATTTTTGCTGATTAACATGAACATATCTTTTGACTTACAATTGTAAGACAACTAAGGAAGTCAGCATACCTACACCATCTCTACATGTTCTTTCTTCTCCTCTTAACTTTATTAGATTTCTACAGTGTCATTGTTCAAACATTTATATTTTATTCTGAAACCACAATCCCCATATACGTCTTACAGTAAAAAAAATTCAGTGCTTATTACCAGTTATTTTGTTTTCTTTTTCCTTCCTCTTCTCTTTGTTGGCTGAAGTTTATCCTCTAGAAGTTTATTCTATGGGGCTCATAGAACAACTATTCTTGAGTTTTTGAGTGTCCAAAAACTTTAGGCTGTTGCTTGTATATTTGAGTTACAGTTTGTCTTAATAGAAAATTCTTTGGTTACATTTTCCTTCTATGAAGATTTTATAGGAAGTTTTCTATTTTCTTCTAGTCTTGAATACTTCTGTAGAGAAATTTAAGATAAGCATCTTCTCATTCTATTGTAAGTGACTTGATTTCTGCCAATATACCCAAAGGATTCATTATTTTTTAATTACAATGACCTTACTAGGACTATCTCAGAATGGGACCTGTTTCTGTCTCCTGGTACATGTTGTGACTTTTCAGTCTCTAGAAGCCGGTCTTCAGTTATTTCTGGAAAGTTTTATTTTGTCTAATTGTTTGTTCCTCCATGCTCATTTTTTACCTGAGTTCTGTTATCTCACATTTCACTTCCATCTGGTATCTTGAAACTCTTCCCTGAGGTCTTGTATCTCTGTCTTGTGTTCTTGTCACATAGAGGTGAATGGTTTATTACATGTTTTAAGTTCACACTTGTTTTTTGTTTTTCAGTTATTCAGTAGCTCTATGCCACAATTTTTCTTCTGAGTGTTTGTAGTCTAGCATTTGTTTGTCCTAGTTTCTCTCCTCTACCCTCCCCATTTTTTTCTTGAGTATCTTTAACTAGACCTTGTGCTGGTTCCCTTTTGAAGTCTAAATGAATCGAAAGGTTTCTCAGCCAGTTTTTCATGAGAGGTTTTTGCTGGGGACAGGTGCATGTCTTGATTCACGGTTGTTTTTGAGTACCTTTTGCCTTGACTTCTCTAATGTCAATGCTGACACACAGCTGAGGAACTGCTGACAAGGCAGTTTTCTTGCTTTTACAGTCTCACCTAAACACTACACAATCAGCTTGCCTGGGTGGCTTCTCATTCAGTCCTGTCTCCTCTGCTTCTCAGATCCAAACTGAGACCAAAGAAGACCATGCCACCAACCATTTCCACTTTTATAAACAAAGGATTTTAAAGAATATTTTGGTGACCATCCCCCAAAGCAGTCACATCAACCATACTACTACAGCACTCTGATTTCTGAGATATGATTTTCTTAACCGCTCCTGGCCCTGAATTTCACTGCCCCAGTTCAGGCAATCATCATGCTTCCCTTTCTGTTAGAGTTATCAGACTCCAACCCCTTCCCATCTTCTGATTTCAGATACAAGGGTATGATATTGCTCTTAAGGAAGCTCAAGCCCTACTTGTCTCTAGTCAATAAAGACATTGATATTTTTTTGATTCAGAGTTTGACATAATTCAGTATGGCTTTCCAAGTACATGCCTTCTTCATTTGAAGACATAGCCTTAGAGTCATTGGTCAATCTACCATGCCTGAATGAAGGACAAGTAGAAGACCAGTGTCTGTGCAATGTAGAACCCTAACTGCACCTGGCAGCAACCAACCCACAGGACATGATTACAACTTTGGTTTTAGAGGGGAGTAGCTGACAATGTACACAGAAAAAATAATTTTAAATTAACTTGTTAGTCAAAGTCCAGTGTAAGGATTTAAGTAACAATAATAACACTAGCAATTAATTGAACAAGGAGTGTTGAATTGACACTTCATAGTGTGGTCCCTCTCTTTGAAGAAATGTGCTGGGCTGGTCTTTCTGACATTCAGAATCATGAGTATCTTCTCTCTGATTCCTGGCATACCTTCACTTGATCTTCACTATTTCCAGAAGCCTTGAAACCTAGGCAACAGTTTCAATATTTTCTAGTTTCTCTGAAACTCTCATGAATTTTTCTATTTTGAAGTCTGCTTATTGGTCTCTGATTCTATGACATTGACTTTTTAGATTCCACATGTAAGTGAAATTGTCAAATATTTATCTTTCTGTGTCTAGTTTATTTCACTTAGCATAATGTCATCCAGTTTGTATAAAAGGATATATTTTAACATTCTCACCACAAAAATGAGTTGTTGAAGGGATGGCTATGTTAATTACCTTGATTTAATCATTTTACAAAGCATATGCCAATCAATATCACACTGTACCCCATAAATATACACAATTATTATTCATCAATTAAAAATAAATTATTAAAATGTAATCTGCTTATTAGTTTGGGTTGATCCCTCAGAGAAAAATGGGAAAATTCTATCTTTTTTTTTTTTTTTTTTTTTTGAGACGGAGTCTCACTCTGTCGCCCAGGCTGGAGTGCAGTGGCGCGATCTCGGCTCACTGCAAGCTCCACCTCCTGGGTTCACACCATTCTCCCGCCTCAGCCTCCCAGGTTCACGCCATTCTCCTGCCTCAGCCTCCCGAGTAGCTGGGACTACAGGCGCCTGCCACCAAGCCCGGCTGATTTTTTTTGTATTTTTAGTAGAGACGGGGTTTCGCTGTGTTAGCCAGGATGGTCTCAATCTCCTGACCTCGTGATCCGCCTGCCTTGGCCTCCCAAAGTGCTGGGATTACAGGCATGAGCCACTGCGCCCGGGGAAAATTCTATCTTAATCTCACTATATTCAAAAAGGAAGTCTTTTGCCTTTTTTTTAACAAATTTTATTGCGTATATTTAAGGTTCACCACATGAAGTTACGAGATACACGTAGACAGTAAAATGATTAGTATAGTGAAACAAATTAACATATCCATCATCTCACACAGTTACCCATTTTCCCCCTTCCGGCAAGAGCAACTATAATCTACTCATTTAGCAAAAATCTTGAATACAATACACTTTATTAACTATAATCCTCATGTTATAAATTAGATCTTTTATCTTAGCTTATTTTCCCAAGTATTCTGACCTTTTCAGCTAGCAGAGGATGAGAGGGACAAGGTGGTGGTGGCATTCGGCATCTCAACCAAGAGCAAGGTAAAGGCATTGAGGTGTTGGAGGAGTGAGGGATGGCCTGGGGACTCGCCACGGGGCTTTGAACATAAATGGTTTAAAATGTTAATGTGAACTGAGTGAACTGATACCTCCCCTGCTGGGACATGTCCTTACAGAAACTCATGGAGCCAGAAGCTGGGACCAATAGGACCGCTGTTGCTGAGTTCATTCTACTGGGCCTAGTGCAAACAGAAGAGATGCAGCCAGTTGTCTTTGTGCTCCTCCTCTTTGCCTATCTGGTCACAACTGGGGGCAACCTCAGCATCCTGGCAGCCGTCTTGGTGGAGCCCAAACTCCACGCCCCCATGTACTTCTTCCTGGGGAACCTGTCAGTGCTGGATGTCGGATGTATCACTGTCACTGTTCCTGCAATGTTGGGTCGTCTCTTGTCCCACAAGTCCACAATTTCCTATGACGCCTGCCTCTCCCAGCTCTTCTTCTTCCACCTTCTGGCTGGGATGGACTGCTTCCTGCTGACCGCCATGGCCTATGACCGACTCCTGGCCATCTGCCAGCCCCTCACCTACAGCACCCGCATGAGTCAGACAGTCCAGAGGATGTTGGTGGCTGCGTCCTGGGCTTGTGCCTTCACCAACGCACTGACCCACACTGTGGCCATGTCCACGCTCAACTTCTGTGGCCCCAATGAGGTCAATCACTTCTACTGTGACCTCCCACAGCTCTTCCAGCTCTCCTGCTCCAGCACCCAACTCAATGAGCTGCTGCTCTTTGTAGCAGCAGCCTTCATGGCTGTGGCACCCTTGGTCTTCATCAGTGTGTCCTATGCCCATGTGGTAGCTGCTGTGCTGCAAATCCGCTCTGCTGAGGGCAGAAAGAAGGCCTTCTCCACATGTGGCTCCCACCTCACTGTGGTGGGCATCTTCTATGGGACAGGTGTCTTCAGCTACATGAGGCTGGGTTCAGTGGAATCTTCAGACAAGGATAAGGGGGTTGGGGTTTTCATGACTGTGATCAACCCCATGCTGAACCCACTTATCTACAGCCTCAGAAATACTGATGTTCAGGGCGCTCTGTGTCAGCTACTTGTGGGGAAGCGATCACTGACCTGAGAGATGACCTCCTTTCCTGCCTTTTCTGGACCGAGGAAAATTTCCCGAGAAGATAGTAACCAACAAACCTTGTTTATAACCATTATTTCTATCTCCTGATGCCTGAGGAGTGGTGTTATGTGTTTGGCCTACAAGGAAACCCTATATAATTCATTCATTTATTCATTCAACAAATATTTATTAAATTACTTCTATGATCCAAACAATCTTCTAGGGCATTGGTGAGCAAAATGGACAAAAGTCTCTGCACTCAAGCAAATCACATGCTATAAAGGTAGGCTAAATAAATAAATAAGCATCATATATAGTATACCACATGGTGATACACTCTATAGAAAAAAGCTGGTAAGACAGGAAGACATGAAGTGAGCTTCTGCCAACCAGGCCTCCTGGGCAAGTTGGTACCTTGCTTTGGGCTGTGCCCGCTTTCTCGGTAGAGCTGAAATCTTGGCAGCACTTTATGCCTGAGCAGCAATGTCCTACAGGAAAGGGCCACTTCATCCCAGCCTAGGTAACCAAGAATATCACTGCAAAGTTTCCTTCCAGAGGGATGTGAGACTCCCTCCAGATCAGAGTGTGGAAAGGTATTTTGAACCGTGGGCCCAGTGCCAGGAATCATTTCATGCTACTGTTCACCTTTCACCTCCCATAAAATCAGTTCCCTCGCTTTAATACCACACGGGAATCCCATAGGACGATCAGGCAACAGGTGGGGTCTAGAGAAGGAAAGAGCTACTAAATAAAAACTATGTTAATACATAAGTGATATACCTTAAGATCAAAAAGGGAATGTCCTATTTCCATCCCCTGCGGTATCTTTCTGTCTTATTTGATAAATCATCTTCCTGACACATATGATACTTTTTGAAACAGTAAGCGTTTATGTTCCAACTAGGTCCTCAGAATTTTATTGTAGAATACCCAATACAACATTCTCCTCCAAAGTCTTACTTTTCTATCCCAAACCTTCTAGCCTGAAAATACACACCCATAAATGCAGTCCCTGGGAGTGACACCTCCTTCTAACTTTAACTTTATTTGATTAATACATCAATACTGCTGCAACCCAGAGCATTTCCTCATCTTGATGTCTATCCAGGTTTCAGCCCATTAATTCCTGATTCTCTCCAGCCCCTCTAGGAAGACTGTTTACTGCGTCCTAGCAACACTACTGTCCCTCTGCTGTTCATCCCTAAAACTGTCCATGGGTGCACCTGAACCTTGGCTTCTCTGTGATTTCCTCTTGGGGTTGACTGGAAGGATGGGCTGAGATAAGGTTGTGAAGACAAGATGTGAGAGTGGGAGGTAGGAACGGATTGGAGCGGAGCAATGAAGATGAAATGAGCATATCGAGAGGGATGGGACAGGGTGATGAGCAAAAGTGGTAAGAAGGAAGGATGGAAGTAATGAAGGAAATGATGCAATGAGAGAATGGGAAGAGAGAAGTATGTCTCTTACCTGATGCTCTTGGGTGTCCAGACACTTTAACGTTAAAGAACTTGAGCTTCCCTTAAGGGCAAAGTTCTTGTGAATGAAAATCACGGACACGGGTTGTAATCACATCATTCCTACTCATCCACTGCTCTGTGATCTTAGAAAGTTCCTTACCATGGTTGGGCTTGTGTCCACCTGTACCATAAGGGACTGGGACAAGATTTTCTATCCACGGTTCCTCACATTTAATGACCTCTGATCATAATAGTCTGAATGAGCTCTTCCCTGGGTCTGAACACATCACAAACATTTTGAGAGCATTACCACCACCATTTCCACCACTCCATCTACGCCGTGAGCATCTAACGCTTGTCTATGACCCCCAAAGATCCCAGGCCCTGGCACTGCCTCCTGTGTGGCATTGCCACCTCCTTTCCTGTGTTCCACCTGTCCTCCAACACTGAGGGGTTTCCTGAACAAGTGAGAAAGATGTACTTCCTTGGGAGTTTCTCTCTTTGTGCTCTCAAATATAAATATACCTATTTTTAAATGTTTCAGAAATATTATACCTGATAGTGGAAACATTCAGAAAATATTATTCTTTCAAATGGGAAATAAAAATCCAATTATTCCTTCACCTCGCCAAAAACCTCATCAGAGTTAACTCCTCTTAAGAATTTGATGACCAGGCATGGTGGCTCACGCCTGTCATCCCAGTGCTTTGGGAGGCCAAGGCAGGTAGATCACCTGAGGTCAGGAGTTCGAGACCATGCTGGCCAACATGGTGAAACCCCATCTCTACTAAAAATACAAAAATTAGCCGGGCATGATGGCGGGCACCTGTAATCCCAGCTAGTTGGGAGGCTGAGGCAGGAGAATCGCTTGAACCCAGAAGGCAGAAGTTGCAGTGAGCTGAGATAGCGCCACTGCACTCCCGCCTACACTCCAGCCTGGGCAACAAGAGCGAAATGCCATCTCAAAAAAAGAAAAAAAAAAAAAAAAAGAACTTGGTGTTTAATCCTCCAAAGATTTCCTATATATATGATATGCCTACTTCACATCTGTAGAAACATACTGTTCTGTGATCTGCTTTATGATTTTCCCTACATGTTATACAATATAATCTTTTACATGATAAAGACTAAAATTCTGCTTTATCTCTTTTAATGATGACACAGTATATCATTAAACATATAAACTATAATTTATTTAATCAAAACTCCACTGATATAACTTGGGTTGTTTCTAATTGTTTTGCAATAACAAATAATATTGTGATGAATATCCTTACGGGGCATTTTTCTAAATTTATGTAATTATTTCCCCAGGATTAATTCACATGAATAACTTTATCAGATTATAAAATATAAATAACAAATATAAATTTTAAGATACACATGCACAAACACATACACATCTTAATTTCTAAAACTTTTGGGCCAATTTACAGATTTGCTGTTGTGATAGTGTTTGTTTACCCACATCCCTCCCATCAATGGTTGTTATTAAAAAATTTTTTTCTCGATTTTTATAACCTGAAGGTTGAGAAATTGCAGTATTTTAATTTGAATTTTTAATTTCTTTTTTCATTAATTTTAGTTTTATTTATTTATTTAAGTAGGTGCCATGTATTGAGTACTTACCAGGTGCTAGTAAATGCTCTATCCACATTACATAAGAGAATTCATTTAATCCTTAAAGTCACTGTTTGAGCTATCATCCCTATTTTACCAACAAATTGAGGGATAAAACTTTGTATCAACCAAATATCTCAGTAATTGCTGATCAGAGCTGATTAACAAATGATAATCAACATGTTCTATATTTGGTATTTCCTTTACCTTACAGGGCATTCTTTTTTTAACTTTTAAGTTCAGGAGTACATGTGCAGGTTTGTTATATATGGGTAATATAGGTTATATATACCTATATAGGTATATATAGGTAATATAAGTTATATAGGTAAACTTGTGTCATGAGAGTTTGTTGTACAGATTATTTTGCCACTCACATATTAAACCTAGTACCCATTAGTTATTTTTCCTGATCCTCCCCCTCCTCCCAACCTTCACTCTCTGATAGGCCCCAGTGAGCGTTGTTCCCCTCTATGTGTCCATGTGTTCTCATCACTTAGCTCCCACTTATAAGTGAGAACATGCAGTATTTGGTTTTCTGTTCCGAGTTAGTTTGCTAAGGATAACGGCCTCCAAGCTCCATCCATGTTCCTGCAAAGGACATGATCTCATTCTTTTTTATGGCTGCATAGTATTTCGTGGTGTACATGTAACATATTTTCTTTATCCATTTTACCATTGATGAGCATTTAGGCTGATACCATGTCTTTGCTTTTGTGAATAGTGTTGCAGTGAACATAAGCGTGCATGTGTCTTTATGATAGAACTATTTATATTACATTGAGTATATACCCTGTAATGGAACTGCCGAGTTGAGTGATATTTCTGTTTTTAGGTCTTTAAGGAATTGGCACACTGTCTTCCACAATGGTGGAACTAATTTATGCTCCCATCAACAGTGTATAAGCATTCCTTTTACTCCACAACATCGCCAACATCTGTTATTTTTTGACTTTTTAATGATAGCCATTCTGACTGGAGTGAGAGTATCTCACTGTATCTTCAAATCCTTGATAGTTGCACTAATCTCTGCAATCCCTTCAGGGATGCGATATTGTTTTCTATTTACTATTTTTCTAGGTAGAGGCAGCTCTAATGGCTTCCATTTGGCCTTTCCCACCATAATAGCCCTCACCCTACCAGTCAAGGAGTCAATGTGAGGGTCCTGACACTGCTACGTATGTCTATGCCAATTATGCATTCTGGCACTGGGGAAATGACCACGGGATGAGTACAGGGACTCACTGTAAGTTGGACCTGAGCTAAAACTCCATTAATTACCTGACCTCCATAAGCCCCTACTTTAACTGGAGGACCACAGTGACGTTTCGGATCCCCTGGAATCAATGTCAGCTCAGAACCAGTGTCTAGTAGTCCCTGAAAGATCTGATTATTCCCCTTTCCCCAATGCACAGTTACCCTGGTAAAAGGCTAGAGGTCTCCTTAGGGAAGAATGGGAGAAAGATTAACAGCATGAATTGTCAGTAGTGTAGTGAGGTCCTTCCCCAAGGGGACCCCACCTCCCCTTCATTCAAAGGGTTCTGGGTCTGTAAACTGGTTCAAGTCTGGAAACTGATTGAGGGGCCATGATTCTCTGTTTTTATATATCAAATTAGTATTTTGTCCACTGGACCTGGAAGTTTTTTGCTTATATAAATCAAGTAAGAATGCAGTAGGCTTCCTGTCAGTTTCACTTCTAGGAACACCATGATTAATTAGCCAATGCCAGAGCTCTACACAAGTCAGACTATTCTGATTGCTGTTTTGCCTCTGCTGTCCATTATGGTGGCTACAGCCAACTTGTCTTTAATGGTTGAGTGCTGCCACTTGGCCCCTGCCACCTCGGGATCCAATTATTCCCACTGCATTTAAATTTTATAGTTGAGTGACTGCAGTTCCCACTGTAAGATCTGACATACAGAGAGGAGCAATCATAGAGCTCTTTGAGGATGCAGGTGCTGCCCTCACAAATCTATTTCACAAAGTATTAATCAAGGGTATATCTTCTGGGCCCTCCCAGCTGGGATGAGTAGGTCTAAAGTGACTAATCCACTCCAGCATCCCTATCTCCCTAAGCCTTTGGATTCCTTCCTCTACATTAAACCAAAGAAGATCAGGCATTTCCAGCTCGCTCACAGTGGGCCATCTTTTAATCCATATTTCAGCTAACCAAGCAAATAAGCTAGTAGAATCTTTTTTAACTTCCCAAGCAGCAACATTAAATGCAGAATCCCTGCTTAGTGGGCCCAAAGCAATAAATTCAGCCAGATACAACTTTATGTTCCTTCCACCATTATCCCACACCCTTAATATCCATTCCCGTGCCTGTTCTTTAGATTTCTGCTCATTTAAATTAGAAAACTCAAGCAGTTCTTTTGGATTGTAGCACACTTCTTCATGGGTCACACTCTGAACCTCACATCTAGGGGCCTGCTGGGACTTTAGTCTAGTTATAGGTCTAGAAGCAAACAGGGGTGTTGGGGGTGGGCCCTGAGGAGAATAAACATTGCATAGCCACTGCCTCAGAGAAGGCCATTGCTGTTGCCTTGGGCAGTGCAGGGTTATTCTCCTCAATCTCCATACATGCAGTCAGCAAACATACGAAAAAACTCAACATCACTGATCATTAGAGAAATGCAAATCAAAACCACAATAAGATAACATCTCATGCCAGTCACAATGGCAATTATTAAAAAGTCAAGAAACAATGATGCTGGTGAAGCTGCAGAGAAATAGGAACACTTTTACACTGTTGGTGGGAATGTAATTAGTTCAATCATTGTAGAAGACAGTGTAGCAATTCCTCAAAGACCTAGAACCAGAAATACCATTTGCCCCAGTAATCTCACTACTGGGTATATACCCAAAATAATATAAATCATTCTGTTATAAAGGTACATGCACATATATGTCCACTGCAACACTATTCACAATAGCAAAGACATGGAATCAACCCAAAAGCCCATCAATAATACACTGGATTAAAAAAAATATGGTACATATACACCATGGAATACTATGCAGCCATAAAAAGGAATGAGATCTTTATTTAATTTATGGTCTTTTTTTTGAGACAGTGTCTCACTCTGTCACCCAGGCTGGAGTGCAATGGCACGATCTAAGCTCACTGCAACCTCCACCTCCTGGGTTCAAGTTATTCTCCTGCCTCAGCCTCCATAGTAGCTGGGATTACAGGCACCCGCCATCATGCCTGGCTAAGTTTTGTAGTTTTGTAGAGATGGGGTTTCAACATGTTGGCCAGGCTGGTCTCGAACTCCTGACCTCAGGTGATCTGCCCGCCTTGGCCTCCCAAAGCTGAAATTACAGGCGTGAGCCACTGGTGATCATGTCCTTTGCAGGGACATGGATGAGGCCAGAAGCCATTATCCTCAGCAAACTAATGCAGGAATAGAAAACAAAACACCATATGTTCTCACTTATAAGTGAGAGCTGAACAATGTGAACACATAGACACAGAGAGGGATACAACATACTGGGGCTTGTTGGGGTGGGGGGGCAGTAGGAGGGAGAGCATTAGGAAAAATAGCTAATGCTTGCTGGGCTTAATACCTAGGTGATGGGTTGATAGGTGCAGCAAATCACCATGGCACACATTTACCTGTGTAACAAACCTGTACATCCTGCACATTTGCCCTGTAACTTAAAATAAAATAAAAATAGAAACACAAAATTCCAAAACCTATAGAATACAGCAAAAGCAATATTAAGAGGGAAATTTATGGTAACAAACTCCTACATAAGAAATATTTCCAATAAACAACCTAGCAATATACCTCAAGGAACTAGAAAAGTGAGAACAAATCAAACCTGAAAGTAGTAGAAGGAAAGAAATAATAATAAAGATCAAAGCAGAAAGAAATAAAATTGAGACTAAAAATGTGAAATATTAATAAAATGAAAAGTTGATTTTCCTGAAAAGTTTAACAAAATTGGCAAACCATTAGCTAAACTAATTAAGAAGAGAGAAAACCCAAATAAATAAAATCAGAAATGAAAAAGGAGACATTATAAGTGATACCACAGAAACACAAAGGATCATTAGAAAATATTATGAACAACCATATACCAACAAATTAGAAAACCTAGAGGAAACAGATAAATTCCTGAAGATAAACTGCCTATAAAGATTGAACCAAGAAGAAAAAACAAACCTGAACAGACCAATAATGAGTAATAAGATTGAATCTGTAAGTAAACATCTGCCAACAACAACAACAACAAAAAAGTCCAGGATCAAATGGTTTCACTGCTGAATTGTTCAAAACTTTAGAGAAAAAAAACCCTTAATACAATTTCTTTTCAAGCTGTTTCAAAAAACAGAAGAGGAGGAAACTCTTCCAAACACATTCTATAAGGATAGCATTACCCTGATACTAAAACAAGACGAAAAAACAAAAATAGAAAACTAAAGGCCAATATCCCTGATGAACATAGATGCAAAAATTCTTCACAAAATACTAGCAAACAAAATCCAACAGCACATCAAAAAGATTATGCACTATGTTCAAGTGGATTCAAGTGGATTTATCTCAAGAATGCAAAGATGGCTCAACATATGGAAATCAACATATGAGATACATCACATTAACAGAATGAAGGACAAAACCCATATGATCATCTCAATAGACACAGAAAAAGCATTTGATAAAATTCAACATCACTTTATGAAAAAAATTCTCAATAAATTAGGTATAGAAGAAATGTACCTAAACACAATAAAGACCAAATATGGCAAACCCACAGCTAATATCATGTTGAACGGAGAAAAGCTGAAAGCTTTTTCTCTAAGAACTGGAATAAGACAAGGATGTGTACTCTTGCTAATCTTATTAAATATGCTACTGGAAATCCTATCAAGAGCAGTTAGACAAGAGAAAAAATAGACAGCATCTAAACCAAAAAGAAGGAAGTCAAATTGTCCTTTGCAGATAAATAGTCCTATCTATAGAAAAGCCTAAGAATCCCACCAAAATGTCTTAGATTTAAATTAAATTAAGCAAATTCAGTAAAGTTGCAGAATACAAAATCAACATACAAAAATTAGTAGCATTCCTATACACCAAAAACAAAGTAGCTGAAAATAAATCAAGAAAGCAATCCCACTACCTAGGAAAAAAATCTAACCAATCTCTATAAGGAAAATTATATGAAAGAAAATGAAGAGGATAAAAAAAAAAAAGGAAAAACATTCCATGTTCATGGATTGGAAGAAATAATATTGTTAAAATGACCATACTACCCAAAGCAATCTACCAATTCCATGTAATTCCTATCAAATAGAAATGATATTCTTTCATGAAATAGAAAAAAAAAATCCTGAAATTTATATGGAACCACGAAACACCCCAAATAGCCAAACCAATCCTGAGCAAAAAGAAAAAAACTCACTGTATCACACTACGTGACTTCAAACTACACTACACAACTATAGTAATCAAAACAGCACGGTACAGGTATAATAACAGACAGACCAATGGAACACAATAGAGAATCCAGAAATAAATCCATGTATTTACAGCCAACCAATTTTCAACAAAAACACCAAGAACATACACTGGGAAAGTCAGTCTCTTCAATAAATTGTGCTGTGAAAACTGAATATCTACATGCAGAAGAATAAAACTAGGCCCCTACCTCTCACCATATACAAATATTAACTCAAAATTGATTAAAGACTTAAATGTAATACCCAACACTATGCAACTACTAGAAGACAACATAGGGAAAATGTTTCAGCAACTTACTCTGGGCAAATATTTTATGGATAATACCTCAAAAGCACAGCCAACAAAAGAAAAAATAGACAACTTGGATTATATCAAACTAAAAAGCTTCTGCACAGCAAGAAAACCATCAACAGGATGAACAGAAAACCTGTAGAATGGGAGAAAATCTTTGCAAGCTATTCATTTGGTAAGGTTTTAATATCCAAAATGTACAAGGAATTCAACTCAACAGCAAATAATAATAATAATAATCTAAGTTAAAAAATGGGCAAAGGATCTGAATAAACATTTCTCAAAAAAAGACATACAAATGAACAACGTGTGTGAAAAAATGCCCAATATCACTAATTATCAGGGAAATTCAAATCAAAACCAAAATGAGACCTCATCTCACCCCAATTAATGTGAGTATTATCAAGAAAACTAAAAATAACAAATGCTGGCAAAGATATGGAGAAGGATAATTCTTATATATTGTTGTTGGTGGGAATGTAAATTAGTACAGCTATTATGGAACATGGTATGGAAGTTCTCATAAAAGCTAAAAATAGAACTACCAATTGATCTAGCAATCCCATTACTAGGTGTGTATGCAAAAGAAAGAAAATAGGTATGTCCAAGAGACATTTTCACTCCTAGCACTATTTATGTTAGCCAAGATATGGAATCAACCTAAGTGGCCAATCAACAGATGAATAATGAAAATATGGTGTATATATACACAATGGAATACTACTCAGTCAGTAAAAAGTATAAAATCTTGTCATTCATGGCAACATGGATGAGCCTGAAGGATATTTTGATAAATAAGTCAGGCACAGAAAAATAAATACCACATATTCTCATTCGTGTGTGGAAGCTTAAAAAGTTGGCAGTATAGAAGTATAGAGTAGAATATTGGCTGCTAGAGGCTGAGAAGGGGAAGAAGTGGGGTTATAGAGGTTAGTTAATAGATAAAAAATTATAGGATAGGAGGAATAAGTTCTAGTGTTCTATAGCGCTGTAGGATGACTCTGGTAAACAATTTATTGCATTTTTCAAATAACTAGAAGAGAGAATTTTGAATGTTCTCAATACTAAGAAATGATAAATTTTGAGGTGATAGAAATGCTGATTTTCCTGATTTGATCATTGTACATTGTATATATGTATCAAAATATCACACTGTACCCAATAAATATGTACATTATGTGTCAATTTTTAAAACAATTTCAAAATAACTAATATAAATGAATGAGTGAACAAATGAGTGAGGTTCTTAAGCAGACTTTGGTTCCCTTCCCCATGCTTGAGAAGTCCTTTTAGGGCCTTAGGTATGACTTAGTTCTTAGATATAGATAAACTAAAGTATGGTATGTAAGCAAATAGAAAGTTCATTTTAGGTTTGGGTCAGGTAAAAAGACATGCAGACATAAAAATTAAGAAAAGTTCAACCATTGTGGAAGTCAGTGTGGCGATTCCTCAGGGATCTAGAACTAGAAATACCACTTGACCCAGCCATCCCATTACTGGGTATATACCCAAAGGACTATAAATCATGCTGCTGTAAAGACACATGCACATGTATGTTTATTGCAGCACTATTCATGATAGCAAAGACTTGGAACCAACCCAAATGTCCAACAATGATTGACTGGATTAAGAAAATGTGGCACATATACACCATGGAATACTTTGCAGCTGTAAAAAATGATGAGTTCATGTCCCTTGTAGGGACATGGATGAAACTGGAAATCATCATTCTCAGTAAACTATCGCAAGGACAAAAAACCAAACACCGCATATTCTCACTCATAGGTGGGAATTGAACAATGAGAACACATGGACACAGGAAGGGGAACATCACACTCTGGGGACTGTTGTGGGGTGGGGGGAGGGGGGAGGGATAGCTTTAGGAGATATACCTAATGCTAAATGACGAGTTAATGGGTGCAGCACACCAGCATGGCACATGTATACATATGTAACTAACCTGCACATTGTGCACATGTACCCTAAAACTTAAAGTATAATAATAATAAAATTTAAAAAAGAAAGAAAACAAAGTTAGGAGACAGGCTGATGTGAACACTTGCTCAGGAAAATGAGTAAAAAAAATTTATTCAAAATTTGTAGTTTTGTTTAGCAAAGAAGGGGACTGAGATGTCTGGGTCTTATTATTGACATGAGAGGACAGAATATCATTTAAAGCAGACCTACAGGGTTTTTTCAAGTACACATGATAAACTGGTGGTTTAACAATGAAGACGGAAATTTTAATTTAAATATTTTAAATCTTTAATTTAAAGATTTTCTTCACCTGGGATTAGCAAAAAGGAAAATCTTCCTAGCAGGTTACTGAGAACACCTTACTTCAACTACATATCCCCCCCACATCTGTTTTACTTACTCAGAAATTATGTAATATTACATTTAAACAAAAAGTTTCATGTGCAGAAAAAAAGAGATCTGAAATAATATTGAAATATTAATGTCCATGTATCTATTAGATAAAATTATATAAGACTCCCAAGTATTACTGTCATAGAAGGAAGGGATTTTTCCTTTTACAAATGACCCTTTCCAGGGCTCCCTTCATGTCTCTGTTCCTCAGGCTGTAGATGAAGGGGGTCAGCATAGGGGTCACCACAGTGTACATCATAGCCATGACAGTGTCCTTTAGAGTAGAACTATTAGCTGATGGGCATAAGTAGAGACCAATAACGGTCCCATAGAACAGTGACACCACAGAGAGGTGGGAGCCACAAGTAGAGAAGGCCTTGCAGATACCCTTAGAAGAAGGGACCTTGAGGATGGAGGAGACAATTCTTGCATAGGACCCAAGGATGAGTAGGAATGGGATGACAAGAATGAGCCCTCCCATGATAAATATCACCCATTCATTAACTCGAGTGTCAGAGCAGGCCAGCTTCAGCAGAGCAGACATATCACAGAAAAAGTGGGGGATCACATTGTCTGCACAAAAACACAACCTGGCCATGAGTAAAGTGTGTAACATGGCATGGAAGGTGGTCAGCACCCAGGACAGCGCCACCACGGAGAGACAGAGCATGGGGCTCATGATGGCGGTGTAGTGCAGGAGGAAGCAGATGGCGGTGTAGTGCATGGGGAAGCAGATGGCCACATAGCGGTCATAGGCCATGGCCACAAGGAGGAAGCTCTCTAGATCCGAAAAATACAAGAAGAAGTACATTTGGGTCAGGCAGTCTGCATAGGGGATGGATGGGTCTTGGTTCTGCATGTTCTGCAGCAATTTGGGCATTGTGACTGAGGAAAAGCAGAGGTCAGAGAAGGACAAGTTGCTGAGAAACAAATACACAGGCGTGTGGAGATGGGAGTCCAGTCGAATGAGGACAATGATGAGGAGGTTCCCCAGGAGGGTGGTAAGATACATGGCCAAGAACAGGGCATAGCACAGGTTTTGCTGCTCTGGTTGGATGGGCAGGCCCAGGAGCAGGAAGTCTGAGATGCTGGTTTGATTTTGTCCCATCATGCTCTGTCTCCAGTATCTTTAAGAGAATATAATAGGGTCCCTCAAAACCGTGAATAAAAATAAATATATTCCTATGATACATGGTCAACAGGTGTTCAATCACTGATTTCACCCTCATTTTCCCTAACAACAATCTCTATATTCAGAGATTTCTATAATTATTTCTATAATCAGAAATGTGCCACATCACAAAATCCACGCTACTTTTCACACTGATCCATCTCACTTTGCATAACATGTAGCAAGATTGACTCCTCCTTTCTTTCTAAAACACTCTTATCTATTAGCTTCCGTGCAATCACACTGGTTTCCTGACACATATTGGCCATTCCTTCTTAACAACTGTAAATGGTTTCTTCTCTAACAGTATCTTATACGTTGCTGTTTTCTGGGAATTTTTCCTAAATTCTGTTCTAATTCTACAGATCAAGCCCTGAAAGAGTTCACCTGTCCCCGTGACACTGATTACCATCTGAACTTCCTGGGTAAACCTATCATCATTAGTACTGCATTAGCAGTTGCTTCCTGATTATCTCCCTATGGATCATGACCATCCTCAGCTTAACAGATCCCAGATGAAACTCGTTATCTCACCCTGCCACTCTTCCAATTTGCTCCTCCAGTCTCTCATATCTCAGTAAAAGGAATCCAGGCTCAAGTCAGAAACCTGGGAGTTTTCTTTCATTTATTTATTTCTCTCAAGATCAACATCTAATCCTAGCAAGTTATATAGATTCTGTACTTCATTCTATTTCTAATTCACCCACTGCTTATCCCAGTTGCCACAATCTGGAACAGGCTGACATCTTTTCTTGTCTGGACTATTGGAATAGTCTCTTACTTCATCTCCCTGCTGCTATGCTCACTAGCCTTCAATCCATTCACACTGTGGCGTTCTTTTTTTTTTTTTTTTTTTTTTTTTGAGATGGAGTCTCGCTCTGTCACCCAGGCTGGAGTGCAGTGGCGCAATCTCAGCTCACTGCAAGCTCCTCCTGCTGGGTTCACGCCATTCTCCTGCCTCAGCCTCCCGAGTAGCTGGGACTACAGGCACCCGCCATCGCGCCCGGCTAATTTTTTGTATTTTTAGTAGAGACGGGGTTTCACCGTGTTAGCCAGGATGTTCTTGATCTCCTGACGTCGTGATCTGCCCGCC
The DNA here is from genome assembly GCF_000001405.40 of Homo sapiens. NCBI lineage: Eukaryota > Metazoa > Chordata > Mammalia > Primates > Hominidae > Homo > Homo sapiens. The sequence goes on from NC_000017.11 coordinate 3,434,995, forward strand.
TCAGCCTCCCAAAGTGCTGGGATTACAGGCCTGAGCCACCGTGCCCGGCCACACACTGTGGCATTCTAAGATAAAAATCTGATCATCATTCTCCTGCTCAGAGTCCTTATGGATTCTCATTATTCTTAACATATACACAAAATTCCTTTCAAGGACACAAATCATATTTCATTATCTGACCCATGCCTACCTCCACAGCCTCATCTGGTCCCACAATGACTCTTGCATCAGCATTCTCCAGCATTCTCCAGCAATGCTAGACTTAGAAGTCATAATTTCTTGCCTCCAGACGTTCACACTTGCTGTTCCTTCTGTGTAACATCTTACCTCTGCTTTTTTTTTTTTTTTTTTTTTTTTTTTTTTTTTTTTTTGAGACAGTCTCGCTCAGCCATCCAGGCTGGAGTGCAGTGGCACGATCTTGGCTCACTGCAAGCTCTGTCTCCCAGCTTCACGCCATTCTCCTGCCTCAGCCTCCCGAGTAGCTGGGACTCCAGGCACCCGCCACTACACCAGGCTAATTTTTTTGTATTTTTAGTAGAGATGGGGTTTCACCATGTTAGCCAGGATGGTCTCGATCTCCTAACCTCATGATCCGCCTGCCTCAGCCTCCCAAAGTGCTGGGATTACAGGCGTAAGCCACCACGCCCGGCCCCTCTGCCTTCTCTTACTTGGCATACCCCTGCTTCTCCTGCAGGTTTACTACATGTCACTGGCTCAGCTCAATCACTCAGACCAGGTGAGACCTGCTTCTAAGTTTCCACAGCATCTTGTACTCATCCAGCAGCATTCAATGACCTTGATTGCTTGTTTATAGCTGAGTTTCCTACCAAATTGTAAACTCCATACAGATAAGGCCATGACTGCCTTCGTGACTGCACCAAGGCCAGCAACTGGGATGGTGCCTGGATATGGCCAATGTTTCATTAGTATTTGTTGGCTGTCCTTCAGGCTGAGACATACACTCCTCCAACTTTATTTTTTATTTATTTTGAGACAGAGTTTCACTCTTGTTGCTCAGCATGGAGTGCAATGGCACGATCTCAGCTCACCGCAACCTCCGCCTCCCAGGTTCAAGCAATTCTCCTGCCTCAGCCTCATGAGTAGCTGGGCTCACAGGCAAATGCCACCACACCCAGCTAATTTTTGTATTTTTAGTAGAGACGGGGTTTCTCTATGTTGGTCAGGCTGGTCTTGGACTCCTGACCTCAGGTGATCCACCCGCCTCGGCCTCCCAAAGTGCTGGGGTTACAGGCGTTAGCCGCCGCGCCCGGCCCCTCCAACTTTAAAGCAGCCAACACCCATTGTAGTTTAACGACTCCTATTAAATCCTCCCAGAATAAGAATTCACTAGCCTTAACCATTTAGTGCTAGTTTTGACACTTTATTACAAAATTCTGAGATAAACTTCAGACCTATGGAAAATGTTAGACCATCCAACCACCCTACTCTTTATTTTAAAAAGACAGCCCATTATGCATGTTGACACTGTCATTTTGGTTTTGGTGTTGATGTCTACATGGTTCAGTTATGTTGACATGAAGAATTGTATCTGAAAGTTTCTATAATTTGGGGAGAAAGGGAACGAGGATATCCACCCTTGAGACCTCGCTGTACTTCCTCTCCAGATATCCATACCTCAAAATGCCTCTGAGCTAAGAAAGCTGAAGGGTGTTAGGGTACATGAGAAGTTCCTTCCCTAGAGGGATGTAGCTGAGTCTGTCGGGATCTTCACCCTGCTAGTGATGTTTAGTCTAGCCACGTTAACAGTTTTTCACATTTGAATATAATCTGCTAGTATTGTAGTAGGGAAATGGCATCAAGTGAAGTTTCACATGCCTGTTCTCTCAGAAGTTTGCCTACCTGGGAAATGAGTGGGACCAATCTCTGGTGTCAAGGGTCTTATTAGAAATTCCAAACCAGAGAGACATCACTTGTGAATGCTGCCACTGATCGGGAATATAAATTTCAGCTGCTCCCTCAATAATGCCTCTCATCTTCTTCACCTGGTAAATCTACAGTTCTCAGTCTGGACTGAATATAAGAATCACAAAGGTCACTGCTTCTAAAACTTTAATTTACATACAAACCACCTGGTGGTCTTGTTAAATGCTGATTTTGATTCAATAGGTCTGGTGTAGGGCCTAATATTCTACATTCCGAAAGTTAAAATTTCACATTTGGTGATGCCAATTCTGCTGTTCTGTGGACCACACTGAGTAGTAAGGACATATAATACATTTTAAAAATACAGATTACGGCACCATCCCCCAATAAATGTAATTAGAATCTCTGGAGGGGGCCTTAAGTAAGCTCCTTAAGTAATTCAAATATATGGCCGAGGGCTTGAAATCTCTGTATTAAATGCCTATCTCATAGAGATGTCATTATGTTGAAATGATACAATCATGAGAGAGGACATTGCATAGTATTAATGGACACTGTCATTAATAAAAAGATATTAAGTTGTGAACATTAAATCAAAATATTTCTGGAATGTAGAAAAGTCTTGAAAAGCAGAGAGGTGGAGAAAAGGAAAGTTATATCTGAAAAACTATCCTATAGAACATCATACAACTGGGGAAATCAAGACCCTCAGGTTGTAGGGATGCTAAGCTACCAGCTTATTCACCCTCCTGCCCAACTTACTCTGTGTCTGAGGTTAACTCCAGGGCCCTGATCCAAAATCCTCCTCCCCTTTATTGGTTGCAACAGCCTTTGTAGTCATCACCTGTGTCTGTACTCACCCTTCTGACATCTCTCTTTCTACCTATCCCTGGCCCTACCGGACTATGCATCCCGGAGAAGCCTAGATCCTGGAGGAACTCATTAAAAACAAAGTAATTACACAGGACGTCTCTAGAACAAATTATCTTAGAGTCCTGCAACAGTGACTGATTACAGCTGTTGATCACACCTTACTATACTTTGGGGGATCGGGGGATCATGAGAATGGAGAGAAGCTCAGGGATGGGTGTTTAATCATTGCCTGCTTAGGGAATGGAGAGCATGCCTGTGAGGTTGGGGCCTACATCTTGAGAAGTGAAGAAAAATGGTTGGAGAAGTCACAGAAGCAAGCAGGGACCAGACTGTAAATGTCCTAAAACATCTTAAGAGTCTAAGAGTTTAGGCTTTATCCTGTGGACAACAACAAGCCATCAGTGGTCTTTGAATAGAGGACCACCAGGGAAAGACATATGCTTTGGAAATATTTCCAGGTGGCAGAATCTCTTACTATAACCCAACTCCCTGTAAATAGGCCCTAGGAGAGAGAAAAATGGTAACCAACAAGGATCAGACTTCCATTATCCAACCATATACAGATATAAAGGACAGGAATAAGAGAAAAGATGAACTCTCCCGGATCACATTCAATTCTTCCTCAGGCAAATATGGAAAAGTAAATCCATATTTGCAGCCCTCTGAGTTACTTCTAGCTCCTTACCTCTCTAGGAAAACCTTAATAACCAGACACCATCATTATCTCAACCACTCTTCACGTGTCATATTACCTCCTACTAGCTTTTCCTTACCCTACAACTGATCACAAGACCACAACTGACATTTACAACTCCTTCTTCCACACCCATTCCATGTTCCCTTTTACATAACTTCAGCTAGATTCAACCCACATTCCTTTTGAGTCTGAATCCTCAGTGTTATTGTTTTTCTTGGGTTGCTATAATAGTGTTCCATTAACTTTTACTAAGTGACATACAGAAGAATCCCCTGCATGTCAGATATGGTCTTCCCTTTCCTCATTATGCAGAGAAACACAATTTTCCATTGTTAACTGGGATTGAAGTACCACAGGCAGTACAGTAAACCCCTTCTTTGCCTACTGATTTGAAAACATAAAGAACCAAAATTGCCAAATGGCAGTCTCAACTTTCAGTAGACTAGAACCATGGAAGCACTTCCGGTAAAACATTAAGAATTGTATCAGACACTTCTTCCTTAAGAATTGTATCAGACACTTCTTGTCCACCACTTCAAATTCTCTCAGCCATCTTCTCTTATTCCAGCCATGGTTGCAATAACCAATTCTGTGCAGCCTTTGACCAGCTTCACATAGATTCGGTCTGACAGTTTTACTCAGGCCTATTCCATCTGCTTCTTGTGTCCTGCCATATGGTTCCTCTGATTCCATGGAGTAGAATATCATGGAAAACCAGCCCAATGCTCATACATACACAACCAGAAAGTGCAAGGGAGTTGTTGCCGTGTTGGTCAACCCTTAAATACAGGTATTGGGAGCTTATGCATATATGCCTTAGTCCCTCCTAGTGGCTGCCAACTCAATAAGTCATCCTAGTAACTGGTCTCTCTTCTTCCCTATTTAACACCCCCTCTATTCCTTACTTCTTCACATGAGGTAAAATTCTCAAATAAACTACTTACAAATAAGACTTTTTCTCAGTCTCCACTTTTTGGGTAACCTAGGCTATGACAGAAAGTAAGATCTGTTAATCAACAGAGCCCAAAATTGTGGGGGTAGGGAGCAAAAGTTCTGTGGGTATGTTAGTTGGTCTAATAATGAGGAAGTCAGCCCTACTACCACTCCTTGATTTCCAGACTTGTGAATCATGGCTATGAGAGAAACATGATGATACATGGGCTCCTGGTTCAAAGCACACCAACCTTTCTGGCACCCCTAATTTTTGTTACTTTGTGAACTGCTCTGTCTCTAGCATTTGCAACAATGCCTGGCACAAAGCAGATTTTCATTAAATATTTGAAGTAATTAAATGAACCGCACAGACTAGCAGTTCCAGAACAATGCTTAATAACAGTAGTGACAGTGGGTACACTTGTCTTTTTCCTGATAGTGCAAATACCTGTAGTATTTCCCCCTTAAGCCCAATGCTGGCTTTTGAGCTAACTCAGATGTATTATTATCCCATATTAAATAAGCATCATCTATTCCTGTTACAGTGAGCATTTTTATCTAGGATGGTTGTGGAATTTTAGCAAATATACCATTTTAATAAAAACATTAAAATTATACTTCAAAAACTCTTTCCACATTTAAAAGAATTCAAATACTTTAATTCAACAAGTGAAATACAATAGTAGCTATAAAACTATGGAGATGGTAAATTAAGCAATAACAGAAAACTGCTATAATTTATGCTAAACTTCCTTTTATCACTACTTAAGTTTCATTCATCACATTAATATAATACTGCATCTCAACATCTGCAATTTTGACAAATGCCTGGAAAGTTTTTTGTTCAGAAACAGACGCCGGTCTGACAGAAACACATTGGAAAATGTTCTTTTTCTGGTCATAGTTGCCAACACATCTATGAACTCGGCCTCTAATCAGTCTCGGAAGTTCACGATCCTGTTTTTCAAAAAATAAGTATCAAAAAATAGTTATTACTTCATCTGAATTTCAATTTTTTAAATATTTATGTGATCAACTAAACATGTGCCACCTCAAAATGCTATAATTCCTTCACGTGAGTCAGGGCCCCACTGCTAACAAGACAATGATAGTTATTCACATATTGGTACCCTGTAACAGAGGAAAGACCCTCACTTGGTAGGGCTCTTACAAGCTAGCAAGTTGTTGCTTCATCAAAGACTGAATAATCCCCAGTGTAATGACACATGAAATTACCCACTCTTTTATCAGATTCCCAGAGTTCCACTTTCAGTAGGCAGCAGACTGGGTGACTCAAAACAGCTCATCAGATGACAATTAGGATAGCTGGATGAAATGTTTTGTTAAAAATCTCCTCGTAAGCATCAGAGAGATATCAAGACAGTGAGGAATTACAGAGACCCCCTCACACCCCATCTAGGATAGTATGGGAGTCTCAGATGAAACCTGGTTTGGGGTGTGCTTTCTCCCTGAGATGTCTGCAAATTACAGAAAAGCATTTGAGAGTCTAAGAAACTGAGCAGAGATTTCACAGACTTGTATAGGTGGGAAACAAAAAAATGGAATCTTAGGCGTCCAAGGAAAAGAGATTCTAGTAACCACCCCCACTCAGACCTGAAGCTTAAGGTTGGGACCCAAAAGTGTGATGCCTTTAGAGACAAGTAAATCAGAAAAAGATTAGCCTTCTCCAAATCCTCTCAATTATGAATAAAATTAAAGCATTCTGAAGTTGCTTTCATTAAATAGTCACAAAAAGCACTAATTATAAGGGGAAAGACTAATTATTGATAAAAGGATTATATGAAAATGAAAAACTTCTGTTTATCAAAAGCCATCATCAAGTGGGAAAAAGCAAACCATGGATATGAGAAAATATTTGCAATGCACATAATGGACAGAAAACTGATTCCCAGAATAGTTTTTCTTTTTAATTCCTAGAATCAGTAAGAAAAAGACAAATAAGAGAAGAAAACAGCAAGATGCCTGAACAGACTTTACAAAAAAGATATCTAAATAGCATATGAAAAGGTACTCAACCTCATTACTCACTAGGGAATTGTAAAGAAATGAGATAACACTAAATTTACTCATCAGAATTGTTATAATAAAAAAGATCGACAATACTAAGCGTTCGTAAGAATGCAGAGCAACCATAACTCTCCTACATTGCCTGTGAGTACTTAAATTGACACAATCCTTTGAAAAATTCTTTGGCAATATCTACTGTATTTGAATATACACATGCTCTATGACCCAGCAATTTTACTTCTGAGTATATATCAAACAGAAATACATGCAAATGCATAAGAGACATAGATAAGAATGTTCATAGAACATTATGCATAACAGCAAAAAATCCAGAAACCCAAATGCCCACCAACAGTGAAATAGAAAACTGTAGCATATTCATGCAGCACAATATTATACATAGCAATATAAATGAGTGAGCTACAGCTACACACAACATAGATGAATCTTACAAACATTTTGTCAAATAAAGGAAATCACATATTTAAAAAGACATAATGTATGATACTATTTTTATAAAGTACAAAAACAGGCAGAATGAATTGATGACATTAAAAGTCAGGCTAGTGGTTACCTGTAAGTAGAAGACAAGAGGTAGTGAATGGGAAGAAGCACAAAGGGATTTGGGGGGTGATGACAATGTTCTGTTTCTTAACCTGGTTTGGCATTCACTTTGTGATACTTCACAGAACTGTACAGTTATGATTTTTATACTTTTCTGTACATGTTATACTGCAATAACAAAGTTTTTTTAAAAAACTTCAGACTAGATAAAAATAATACACATTCAAGATATTATAGGAATTGACAATTATTTCTTGATCATCAACTATGTGTCATGCACTGTATATTCATGTTTCATCATTTAATCCCCTTAACAACCTTTCGAAGTAGGAATTTGTCTCCCCATTTTATATTTTTTAAAAATCTGAAGTTCAAGTAATTTAAGCAGCTTTCTTAAGTCATAAAACTAGAAAATGTTGGAGTAAATGCTGGAATCCAAGTCTGATTTCAGAATTGAGGCCAATGTCAGAATTAAGGTCAAACTTTTACAAAGTTTATGTAGCTCTTATACAGCCTCAATGTGTGTAGGTCTATAGCCTCCTTTGCAATCTCCACACTTCTATGTCACCAAGCCTCCTTATATCCCAGCCCACTATGCTTTCCCCCACTTTCAGAACCACTACCCTTACCCCTAACAGTTCCTAACTCTTCACTTTGGTAATTATAACTACTTTCAGTTCCCTGAACAAGTGAAGCTCTCTCTTAGCTTCAAGTCTTTGCATATGCTGCTCCCTCACCTTAGACTATATCCTTCTTTCCCTCCCCAACACATTTTGGCTTAGTTGATTCTTATTAGTCCTTAAAGATCTAGGATAAGTTACCACCTTCTTTGAAAATCTTTCCCTGATCTGCCCCTTCCTTCTTACCTACTTCTCTAGCACCCTGCACATACCTAGCTCCACCAAGCCATTCACCATATCACAGTGTAACATTTCTGTACCATTCTACCTGGGATTACAAACTCTGAGAGAAAGAGCCATTTGCCATTTACATTCCACTTTATATCCCTCAAACCCAGCACAGTACCTAGCACGTAGTAGGCTCTCTATATTATAAAAATAAACAACTTTCATATCAGAACTAAAACCAGTGTTAAAAGTACTAAATTGTTAACAGAATTTATATTTCAACTGAATTATAGCCTGCATGTTTATATTCTGTTGACATAGGCTTCGCAAAGAGTACTTTAAAAATACTCACGATTTCATAAAAGACACAAGGCAGAGTATTTTTCCCATCCCTCATAAGAAAAGTCTTCGAATAATATGGGCCAGGTGTAACAGCTGAATCAAGAACAGCTAAGCAATATTGAAATGGGGGAAAAAATGAATGTTGGTAAACTGCAAATAAAATTTAACAAAGAGAAGCTGATGTTTAAATAACTATCCATATCAACCTCTCATAGTGCTATTTATATAGCAATAAAGAAGACATTTTAAGAAGAGAAGATATTTCTCAGGCAGTTTTATAGGTAGGAAAACAAAACTTCTGACTCTCTCCAACTTAGGAACAGATTATATGCCAAGCTCATACAATTGACAATAAATGGCCATCTGAAACTTTTTCCTTAGAATGTGTAGTACAGAGTGGTTAAATCCCCAGAACAGTCTACAACATTATAATAATAAAATGCACATGTGTAACAAATAAGCATCATAATTTAATGAAAAAAGAAACATTGAATTAGAATCAGGAGACATGCATTCAGGTCCCAGGTACTTCAACTTACTAATATTTTGTGACTTTGAGCAAACTGGGTATTAAATTTATTTTTATTATATACATTTAAGGTATACAACATATTTTCATATACATACAATATATTTTCATATACCTATATATAGTGAAATCATTTCTACAGTGAGCAAGTTAACATACCCAACACCTTCCATAGTTATCCTTTGTGTGTGTAAGAGCACCTACAATCTACTCTTACCAAAATTTTAATATACAATACAATAATATTAACTATAGACCTCCTCTGTGCATTAAGTCTCTAGACTTACTCATCCTACATAATTGCAAGTTTGTACCCTTTGACCTACATCTCCCTATTCCCTCCTCCTTGAGTAAATTGTTTAACCACTTTCAAATCTGTTTCTTCACCTATAAAACGCAAATTGTAATTCATGTTTATCTCAAGAAACTATTATGAAGTGACAGCATTATTCATTTATTTAATAACCATCTACTGAGTACTGGTAGTGGGCATTTGTTATTTTGAGGCTGGCCTCCATTTCTGCTAAAAAGACCCAGATTATCCTTCAGGAAAATTCCATTTTTAGCCATATTATTTGGATAGGATTTGTCCCCATCCCCAGATCCACGAGTGAACTGTGACTGACTTAATCCAATCAGCATATTTTATTACTCAACTACGTAGTTCAGGGTTTCTGCAATAGGCATGTTACCAAGTCAGAAATGGTTATATGCAAAGACTCATTTGTTAGTTTGTAGGAAAGAGCAATCAGAAGAAAAATCTAAGAATATGACGGTGTGGTATAAGAATGTATAGTCTACAAAAATTTAATAATCAACTTGCTACCATAAGGAGAGAGTCAGAAGCTTCTGGAGAGACTATAGTGTGGAGCCTTAAGATGAAGCCAACGTTATGACTGGCCAGAAGGATGGAGAGAAATCACTGTGCCATCTCTTGAGCAGCTAGATCAAGCTTTGCCTGAAGTCAGAAACCTAGCCACTTTTCAGTTGCGTGAATAATTCTCTATGCAACACAATATTATACATAGCAATATAAATGAGTATTTAAAATCCACTAAAGTTGTTTTTTTCTGGGGGGTGCTTGCAACTGGAAGATACTTCCTATATACAGTGCAGTGTGCTAGACACTAAAGTGTAGTAAAATGAAGTATCTACCTTTGATAAGTTTAGAGTCTAGCCTAGGAACTCAGGATTATTATAGCACTATGAAAGCTAACCATCACATATAAAAGCATGGACCCCCTTCATTTCTTGATAAGAATGTCTATTGGTGTTTATAATGAGTATTGTGATATTCTTAAAAGGATTATTCTGGAGTGAACCTGAACAACTCACCAAAGAGAACCTGGGGAAATGAATGGAATCAGCATGTCCTTTTAATAGGCTCAGGTTATTTTAATATTTATATTCTGTAAATGAGGTGAGAGCCAAAGGCATCTTTCACACAGGAAAAAGCAATTTAGTGGGAAGTCCAACAGGGGTTAAGATCTTTGAAATAAGATGTTCTACCTCTGACAGTATTCTAGCTCTGACAGAAAACTGACATGAAATAGAATACCATCTGCTATTGCAGTTACGTGGCTACTGGTAAGAACTGAACAAAATAAGAGCTAAGTCAAGCTTCAACAGAGTAGTAACAGTCATGCCAACCAGCTAAGAGATATGCTTCAAGCAACATGAGTAGGACTTGATAAAGAATCCCTGAAGTATATGGGAGTTCCAGAGGCCAGAGGCATGGAAACCTCCAAAAAGCCAAAAACGAAAACTGAACAAAACCAGCCCAGCCAACACCTTGATTTTAGCACTGTGATACCCTGAGTATAGAACGCAGTCAAGCCCACATGGACTTCTGATCTACAAAACTTGAGTTAAGAAGTGGGTGTGGTTTTTAGCTGCTAAGTTTCCATTACTTTGTTACGCAGCAATTGAAAATGAATACAGCGTGCTTTACTCAAAGTCTGAGTCTCTATTGAATCCAATGTCACTTTATATAATAAAGCTTTTTCCTTAATGGTAACAAGAGAGAAACTGGAATCATTTTTAGGTGAAAGTTAAACATGTGAAATGACTGCACTGATAGAAATCTACATCTATATATACACACATTTATATTTACATATATATATATAACAGGACAAAAGGAAAAGGAGGAGGCTGTATCAGTTTCCCATTGCTGCTTACAAATTACCACAAACTTAGTGGTTGGCTTAAAACAACACAAAAGCATTATCTTAATAGTTACGGAGGTCAGAAGTCTATAATGAGTCATCAAAGCCATGTTCCTTTTGGAGGCTCTAGAGTAAAATCTATTTCCTTAATTTTTCCAACTTCTCAAAGATGCCTGCATTCTTTGGCTCATGGCCCCTTCCTCCATCTTCAAAGCCAGCAAGGTAGCATCTTTCAATGCTTTCCTTGTATAAGGGACCCTTGTGATTACATTGAACCCACCCAAATAATACAAGATAATCTTCCCATTTCAAGATCCCTAACTTAATTACATCTGCAAAGTCTCTTTTGCCATATAAGGTAGCATTCACAGGTTTTGGTAATTAGAATGTAGGCATTTTAGGGTGCATTATTCTGGTAATTAGAATGTAGACATTTTTAGGGAGCATTATTCTATCTACCACAGGGACTATTATTAAAACCAGTTCTTTGAATACACTTTAGGGAGTAGCAAAAAGCAGACTGTTTTATTTGGAAGAAAAAGGACTAATCAGACATTAAAACCTGTCCTCCAGAGAGTATTACTGAAGTATTTTTAAAGTATTTTACCTACCTAATACTTCAAAAAGAAGTACAGTTTTCTGTGCATGTTCACGCCAATACTTCATGCTTTCAATAACTGCAGAAATAATTCTTAAAGAACTAGCTTTTTCCTTAAACTGTAACTGATACAATGAGGTTTCCTTTTGAAAAAATAAGAAACATAGTATTAGAAAAATATTTGTTTTTTTCATCATACTCGTTTACCTTCTACGTAAAAATTCTAAGTCCTTACAATGGACAAGTGTGTAAAAAGAACTACTGAAAATTTTAGTATAGTTACTTCCCTAAAATAAGGCCATCAATACTATATTACAGATGGAGAAACCAGGGTGCACTTAGAGACAATCAAGAGGAGAATTATTTATATAGGTATTCATTCACTCATTCATTCATTGACTATTTTAAAGCATCATATGCCAGATCCTGTGACAAATATAGGTAAGGCCATTCCTTTCCCTAGTGCACTCACACTCTAGGGGACTCTAGGGAAGGAGCCAGACACATTCATTCATTCATTCGTTTCAAAAGTGTTTACTGAGCACCTACTACATGCCAAACATAGCTATTTAGGAAAAATTCATGGACAAAACAGTCAAGATATCTGTCCTCGAAGATTTTATTGTCTAGTGGAGGATTTAAAAAATAAGTAAACATATAACAGAATGTCAGGAAATGTACTTTTTTTTTAGGAAAAAAACACACAAGGTAAATGGAAAGAGAGAGAGATGGGGGTTATTATTTTAAGTGGGTTGTTGAATGAGGACAGTGGGAACAGCAAGTATAAAAGCCCTGAGATGGAAATGTTCTTAGCATTTTTGAAGATCAACTAAGAATACAGTGTGTTAAAATACTAATTTTCAAAGGCAAGGGGACGCTTTCCTTTGTGAGGGTGAGGGTTGTGAAGAACATATGATGGGACCTTTTTTCAAAATACAGGTAGTTTCTTCCCTCTTCCCCCGCTTAACGAAGATTCTAACATGCCTCCTGTTGATGATGGCCACAGTAAACCACTGTTACTAAGGTGATTATGTCATATAATTCTTGAGTACAAGGAAACATAAGATTGAGAACCACTGTGAAACATGCTTTATTAATCTTATTTCCAACAAAAAACAAAACATGCAAAAACAAATTTTACCCCGATGGCTTTTTGAAAAGATTGCTTTTTCAGACATAAGGGCAGAACAAAAACTAACAACTGTAAGAAGTTGTTACCATTCCTAGGCTGAAAGGACAAGAGGAGAAAATAAAAGTATCACGCCCAGGAAAGCTATACTCATGAAGGGGCTACATCATGCAGTGACACAGCCACTGCTGGTGATGTAACATTTAAGACAGGAGAAAGTGAGAAAACCCAACCTTTCCTCCCACCCTATGATGTCGTACCAGTGACTCCTACTGGCTGACCTCTAGCAAAAGCCAGCAAGTAAACAATCTCAGGATGATGCACTACATAGGACAGTTCAGCCTTCCACAACAGAGAAGGGCAGGTGAAGAATCAAGTGGGCCAAGGGGCCAGGGAGCAGAGATGAGGAATAACCAGCACACATAATATATAAATAACATTTACAAAGAGCAATCAGAGCACTGAGCGTAGAGAGGAAGTACAGTTGAGATACAGGTATAGGGAAGAATATAAACCAAAGCACAGAGTGTATGCTATGTTTAGAGAATTGTGACGAGTCTGAAGTGGCTAGAGCATTGGACAATTAGTAGACTATGAAATATGAGGCTACAAAGGTAGACTAGGACAAGATCATAAAGCAAAGGTCATAATAAGTTGATCATAAAGAAAACTATGGCCTGCAGTGCAAATCTAACCTGCTATCTATTTGTGTAAACATTTGTTGGAGGAGAGCAGTGTCCATTCATTTATGTATTGCTTATGGCTGCTTCCAAGCTACAGTGGCAGAGTTGAGTAGTATTGCTGAGTAGCTGCAACAGAGACAGTACGGCCCATAAAGCCAAAAATACTGTCTGGCCCTTTAAGAAAAATGTTTGCTGACCTCTGTTGAAAAATACTTAGAATGACATATCAAGAGCCTGGGTAACTTCATAAACAATGGATAAACTGTCTTTATCTTTAAAATGAGTGTAAAGTGAAAGTCAGAATCCAGCAGAAAACTCTAAAGTTTGAAAGGAAAAGGAGCAGCCATTCATACCCTCTAAGAAAATATTTTGGAAACTAACATTCATCCACTTCAATGGAACTGAATATTTATGCTAATCAAGTAATGTATGTCATGGAATTTATTTCAGGCGCTCTTATCTCTGTAGTTTTCTAAATATTTACCTCATATTTTTAAAAATGTAAATAAGTCATTAATTTGTATTTAAACATTTACCTTCAGGGTGTTGTCTTCTGGAATATCATCCAACATTTGTTTCTTATATTGATTTTGTTGAAAATTGGGCTTAAGTGTCTGTAGTGCACTGTTTTTGTCTAGCCCTCTCATTGTGCAGCCAGATATTTTTGATGAATGTGTTTGTCTGAGTAGCTCGGTTTCTTTGTTGCGAGATAAGTTAGGAGGTTCAGGTATTCTTAATTGTTTTTGTTGTTGAGCTCCCGAACTCACTGGACAAGAATTTTTTCCATCATTTGCCACTAAGTTTGTTCGTTTACATTGAGGCTTAAAATCATTTTTATTCCAAGTTTTCAAGCTGGTATTTTTGTTACCATCTCTGTAGCTGTAATAGTGCAAAAAAAAAGCATTTGTTTCTATATGGTTTCTTAATTACAAAAAAAATTAATAATGAAAAATTCATTTATATGGCAATTTATGACTTAGAAAGCACTTTATAACTAACTACTGAGAAATTCCAAATACATCACAACAACCCTACAATGTTGTACTACCTCTCTTTCCAGATGAGAAGACTGATCCCTAATGAGGAATTAACTTGTCCAAAGTCATACAGGAAATTACTCACAAGTCTAGAACCCAGGAAATACAAGATCTCCCAACTCAGAGTCTAGTACTACAAAGTATATTTTTAAATGATAGCATTCTTCATATGATAGTAGTTGTATCCAAGTGGTAAGACTTTGAGGGCATTTACTTGCTTCTTTATATATTCAATTTTAAAATTTTCTACAAAGTAAAATTTTAAGAAGTTAAACTGTGGCTTAGCAATGATTTTAAATCACAAGGAGAATACATATAAGCAGGATAGATAGCTATTAATATTTGATTAGAAATTTTGTGGTTTTACTGCACAGCTTAAAAGCCCTATAATGTATTTGGTACAGCATTTGTCAGCAACATTAAGTGTGTTATATCAGCTGACCAGAACATTATGCTAGATGCTAATGAGGCCAAAATCAAAAGCATAATTTCTGAGCAGCCTAGTTAGGAGTTCCACAGGAAACAAAACTAGTCTAAGTCACGAATTTTTTTTTTTTCTCTTGGAGACAGGGTCTCGTTCTGTTACCCAGGCTGGAATGTAATGGCAAGAACACAGCTCACTCTAGCATCAATCTCCCAGGCTCAAGCGATCCTCCCACCTCAGCCTCCTGAGTAGCTGGAACTACAGGTGAGTGCCACTATGCCCAGCTAATTTTTGTTATTTTTTGTAGAGACAGGGTTTCACCACGTTGCCCAAGCTGGCCACAAACTCCTGGGCTCAAGTGATCCACCTCCTTGGCCTCCCAAAGTGCTGGGGCTAGAGGCATAAGCCACCATTCCCAGCCCACAAATTCTTAATTCTCAGTAATTTTCCTGGAAATACCACAAGTATCACAAGAGGGCAACCAATACAACCCATCCCCTACTTAGGTAAATAATCCAAAAAGAGGTCTAGGTACACTGCTGACCAGGAACAAATCCAAGTTTTATGAGGTCTGAAGCTTGTATAATTTGGGGAACACTGTTAATTGGGTACAAAGTTAGTACAAAATAACGAGAAAAGAAAGCACAATTACAACAATTTAAGTTATAAACACCACAAACATCACGATACCCAGAAAAAAATTGTTAGAATTATTATAAATTAACTGCCTGATACTCCTTTATAGAAATTTTTTCCTACACTGATCACTTCTTCATACGACAATAATTTTGTAATTTTTTTGGACTCAGGCCAGTCTCAAACCCATGGGCACAAGTGATTCTCCTGCCTCAACCTCCAGAGTAGCTGGCACTACAGGTACGTACCATCACACGCAACAATTTTGTAATTTTATTTTCAATAAAGAGAACAGAAACACAATTTTGTCTTTCCTCACTCTCATGGTTATAGAAATTACTTTTATTATTCATAGTCTAGAAAAATTTATTTCAGCTTTACAACTCTCTGTTCAGCACATTTGTAGTAATGCCAAAGATCACTGATCACAGATCATCATAACAGATATAATAATAATGAAAAAGTTTGAAATATTGCAAGAAGTACCAAAATGTGACATAGAAACATGAAGTGAGCACATACTGTTGGAAAATGGCACCAATCGACTTGCTCAATGCAGGGTTACTACGAAACTTTGACTTGTAAAGAATGCAGTATCTGTGAAGTGCAATAAAGCAAAGTGCAACATAATAAGGTATGCCTATATGAGGAGAGGCTGAGTGGATTAAAGATCCAACTGTATGCTGTCTACAATGAACTCAGTTTAGATTCAAAGACACATAAAAGCTGAGAATAAAGGGATGGAAAAAGATATTCCATGCAAACAGCAACCAAAAGAAAACAGGGGTGGCTAAGTTTATGTCAGACAAAATAGACTTTAAGTTAAAAGTTGTTTCTAAAGACAAAGAAAGTCATTATATAATGATAAATGGGTAAATTCAATAGGAAGACATAAAAATTGTGAACATATATACATCCAATATCAGAGCACCTAAATATATAAAGCAAATATTGACAAATCTAAAAGGAAAAATTGACAGCAACATAATAAAAAAAAGAAAGCTCAATACTCCACTTTTAATAATAGATAAATCATCCAGACAGAAAAATCAATAAACAGTGAACTTGAACAACACTATGGATCAAATGGACCCAAAAGACATATATGGAATTTGCCAACCAACAGCAGAAGACTACACATTCTTCTCAAGCACAGATGGAACTTTCTGAAGGATAACTCACGTTAGGTCACAAAAACAGACTTAACAAATTTAAGAAGATCAAAATCACACCAAGTATCTTTTCTGACCATAATGGTATAAAACTAGAAATCAATAACAGCTAGAAAATGGAAAAATTCGCCAGGCATGGTGGCTTACGTCTGTAATCCCAGCACTTTGGGAGGCCGAGGTGGGCGGATCACAAGGCCAAGAGATCGAAACTGTCCTGGCTAACATGGTGAAACCCCGTCTCTACTAAAAATACAAAAATTAGGTGAGTGTGGTGGCATGCACCTGTAGTCCCAGCTACTTGGGAGGCTGAGGCAGAAGAATCACTTGAACCTGGGAGGCGGAGATTGCAGTGAGCCGAGATTGCACCACTGCACTCCAGCCTGGGCGACAGAGCGAGACTCTGTCTCAATTAAAAAAAAAAAAAAGAAAACCAGAAAAGAAAATGAAAAAATTCACAAATACAACAACACCCTCTTGAACAATCATTGATCAAAGAGGGAATTAAAAAAGAAAATCTTAAAATTATTGAGACAGAAACAAAACATAACATACCAAAACTTATGGGAAAGCAAAAGCAGTACTAAGGGGAGTTTATAGCAATGAATGCCCAAGTGGAAATAAAAAGATCTCAAATAAGCATCCTAACTTCACACTTAAAGAAATTAGAAAAAGAATAACAAACTAAGCCCAAAATAAGCATATAAAGGCAATAATAAGACTAGAGTAGAAATAAATAAAATAGAGAATTAAAAAAAAAAAAAAGCAAAACTGGGACCGGGCGAGGTGGCTCATACCTGTAATCCCAGCACTTTGGGAGGCCGAGGCAGGCGGAGCACAAGGCCAAGAGATCGAGACCATCCTGGCCAACATGATGAAACCCCGTCTCTACTAAAAATATAAAAATTAGCTGGGCATGGTGGGGCAGGCCTGTAGTCCCAGCTACTCGGGAGGCTGAGACAGGAGAATTGCTTGAACCCGAGAGTGGAGGTTGCAGTGAGCCGAGATCGTGCCACTGCACTCCAGCCTGGCAACAGAGTGAGACTCCGTCTCAAAAAGAAAAAAAAAGAAAAACTAAGAGCTTATTTTTTTGAAAAGATAAAGTCGACAGCCCCTTACATAGACTAAAAAAAGAAAAAAGAAGATTTAAATAAATGAAAGAGGAGACATACAAT
The DNA here is from genome assembly GCF_000001405.40 of Homo sapiens. Taxonomy (NCBI): domain Eukaryota; kingdom Metazoa; phylum Chordata; class Mammalia; order Primates; family Hominidae; genus Homo; species Homo sapiens. The sequence continues at coordinate 3,452,712 of NC_000017.11, forward strand.
GGATTTCTCAGAAATAAAAAAGATCATAAAGGACTATTATGAACATTATATGACAACAAATTGGATAACACAGAAGAAATGGATAAATACCTAGAAACAAGCAACTTACCAAGATTGAATCAAGAAGAGGCAGAAAGCCTAAACAGACCAATAATAAGGAGATTAACGAAGTAATCAAAAACCTCTCAACAAAGAAAAGCCCAGGACCAGATGACTTCACAGTGAATTCTATCAAACATTCAAAGACAAATTAATACCAATCTTTCTGAAATTCTTTCATAAAACAAGAGGGAATTCCACTTCCAAATTCATTTTATGAGACTAGCATCACTCTGATATCAAAATCAAACAAAGACACTGCTAGAAAACTACAGGCCAATATCACTAAAGAACATACATGCAAAAATCCTCAATAAATACTAGCAAGGCAAATTCAACAGCACATCAAAAAAATTACCTGTCGAGTACTCTGTTCACTTCATGGGTGAGGTGACAGGATCCATACTTCAAACCTTAGCATCACACAATATTCCCATGTAAACAAATCTGCACATGTACCGCTTATATTTAAAGTGAAAGTTGAAATATTTTTTAACAAAATTATACACCATGATTAACTGGGATTTATTTCTGGGATGCAAGGTTGGTTTAACATACGCAAATCAATCAATGTTATACACCACAGTAGCAGAATTAAAGACAAAAATAGATGCAGAAAAAGCATCTGACAAAGTTCAACATCCATTCAGTTTACTCTAAAAAAAATAAGTATAGAAGGAACATACTCCAACACAATAAAGGTCATTTGCAAAATTCCCACAGCTAACATCATAATGGGGGAAAACTGAAAGTTTTTTTTCAAAGATCCAGTACGACGCAAGGATGCCCACTCTCACCACTTCTATTCAAACATAGTTACAGGCTGGGCATTCTAAATCTGAAAATCCAAAACTCGAAATGCTCCAAAATTTGAAACTTTTTGAGCAACAACATGATGCTCAATGGAAATGCTCACTGAAGCATTTCAGATTTTGAATTTTCAAATTTAGGATACTCAACTGGTAGGTATTCTGAAAATATTCCAAACTACAAAAAAATCTGAAACATTTCTGATCCCAAATATTTCAGACAAGTAATACTCAACTAGTCTTGGAAGTCCTAGCCAATCAATTAGCCAAGAAAAGGAAATAAAAGGAGCGCAAATTGGAAAGGATGAAGTAAATGTCTCTGTTTGCAGATGACATGATCTTGTATGTAGAAAACCCTAAAAACTCCATTAAGAAACTGTTAGAACTAAAAAATGAATTCAGTAAAATTGCAGGATACAAAATCAACATACAAAAATCAGGAGCATTTCTTTACACCAACAATAGATATTCCAAAAGGAAACCAAGAGAATGATCCCATTTACAATAACACCAAAAAGAATAAAATACTTAGGAATAAATGACCAAGATAGAGAAAGGTCTATACACTAAAAAATATAAAACAGATTAAAAAAAAAAAACCTGAAGACAAAATAAATGAAAAATCCTGTGTCATGGATTTGAAGAATTGATATTGTTTTTTGTTTTATTTATTTATTTATTTTTATTATTATTATTATACTTTAAGTTTTAGGGTACATGTGCACAATGTGCAGGTTTGTTACATATGTATACATGTGCCATGCTGGTGTGCTGCACCCATTAACTCATCTTTAGCATTAGGTATATCTCCTAATGCTATCCCTCCCCCATCCCCCGACCCCACAACAGTCCCCAGAGTGTGATGTTCCCCTTCCTGTGTCCATGTGTTCTCATTGTTCAATTCCCATCTATGAGTGAGAACATGCGGTGTTTGGTTTTTTGTCCTTGCGATAGTTTACTGAGAATGATGATTTCCAATTTCATCCATGTCCCTACAAAGGACATGAACTCATCATTTTTTATGGCTGCATAGTATTTCATGGTGTATATGTGCCACATTTTCTTAATCCAGTCAATCATTGTTGGACATTTGGGTTGGTTCCAAGTCTTTGCTATTGTGAATAGTGCCGCAATAAACATGCGTGTGCATGTGTCTTTATAGCAGCATGATTTATAGTCCTTTGGGTATATACCCAGTAATGGGATGGCTGGGTCAAATGGTACTTCCAGTTCTAGATCCTTGAGGAATCGCCACACTGACTTCCACAATGGTTGAACTAGTTTACAGTCCCACCAACAGTGTAAAAGTGTTCCTATTTCTCCACATCCTCTCCAGCACCTGTTGTTTCCTGACTTTTTAATGATCGCCATTCTAACTGGTGTGAGATGGTATCTCATTGTGGTTTTGATTTGCATTTCTCTGATGGCCAGTGATGATGAGCATTTTTTCATGTGTCTTTTGGCTGCATAAATGTCTTCTTTTAAGAAGTGTCTGTTCATATCCTTTGCCCACTTTTTGATGGGGTTTTTTTTTCTTGTAAATTTGTTGGAGTTCATTGTAGATTCTGGATATTAGCCCTTTGTCAGATGAGCAGGTTGCGAAAATTTTCTCCCATTTTGTAGGTTGCCTGTTCACTCTGATGGTAGTTTCTTTTGCTGTGCAGAAGCTCTTTAGTTTCATTAGATCCCATTTGTCGATTTTGTCTTTTGTTGCCATTGCTTTTGGTGTTTTAGACATGAAGTCCTTGCCCATGCCTATGTCCTGAATGGTAATGCCTAGGTTTTCTTCTAGGGTTTTTATGGTTTTAGGTCTAATGTTTAAGTCTTTAATCCATCTTGAATTAATTTTTGTATAAGGTGTAAGGAAGGGATCCAGTTTCAGCTTTCTACATATGGCTAGCCAGTTTTCCCAGCACCATTTATTAAATAGGGAATCCTTTCCCCATTGCTTGGTTTTCTCAGGTTTGTCAAAGATCAGATAGTTGTAGATATGCGGCGTTATTTCTGAGGGCTCTGTTCTGTTCCATTGATCTATATCTCTGTTTTGGTACCAGTACCATGCTGTTTTGGTTACTGTAGCCTTGTAGTATAGTTTGAAGTCAGGTAGCGTGATGCCTCCAGCTTTGTTCTTTTGGCTTAGGATTGACTTGGCGATGCGGGCTCTTTTTTGGTTCCATATGAACTTTAAAGTAGTTTTTTCCAATTCTGTGAAGAAAGTCATTGGTAGCTTGATGGGGATGGCATTGAATCTAAAATTACCTTGGGCAGTATGGCCATTTTCACGATATTGATTCTTCCTACCCATGAGCATGGAATGTTCTTCCATTTGTTTGTATCCTCTTTTATTTCATTGAGCAGTGATTTGTAGTTCTCCTTGAAGAGGTCCTTCACGTCCCTTGTAAGTTGGATTCCTAAGTATTTTATTCTCTTTGAAGCAATTGTGAATGGGAATTCACTCATGATTTGGCTCTCTGTTTGTCTGTTATTGGTGTATAAGAATGCTTCACAATTAAAAGAACTAGAAAAGAAAAAGCGAACACATTCAAAAGCTAGCAGAAGGCAAGAAGTAACTAAAATCAGAGCAGAACTGAAGGAAATAGAGACACAAAAAACCCTTCAAAAAATTAATGAATCCAGGAGCTGGTTTTCTGAAAGGATCAACAAAATTGATAGACCGCTAGCAAGACTAATAAAGAAAAAAAGAGAGAAGACTCAAATAGACGCAATAAAAAATGATAAAGGGGATATCACCACCGATCCCACAGAAATACAAACTACCATCAGAGAATACTACAAACATCTCTACACAAATAAACTAGAAAATCTAGAAGAAATGGATAAATTCCTCAACACATACACTCTCCCAAGACTAAACCAGGAAGAAGTTGAATCTCTGAATAGACCAATAACAGGAGCTGAAATTGAGGCAATAATCAATAGCTTACCAATGAAAAAGAGTCCAGGACCAGATGGATTCACAGCCGAATTCTACCAGAGGTACAAGGAAGAGCTGGTACCATTCCTTCTGAAACTATTCCAATCAATAGAAAAAGAGGGATTCCTCCCTAACTCATTTTATGAGGCCAGCATCATCCCGATACCAAAGCCGGGCAGAGACACAACAAAAAAAGATAATTTTAGACCAATATCCTTGATGAACATTGATGCAAAAATCCTCAATAAAATACTGGCAAACCGAATCCAGCAGCACATCAAAAAGCTTATCCACCATGATCAAGTGGGCTTCATCCCTGGGATGCAAGGCTGGTTCAATATACGCAAATCAATAAATGTAATCCAGCATATAAACAGAGCCAAAGACAAAAACCACATGATTATCTCAATAGATGCAGAAAAGGCCCTTGACAAAATTCAACAACCCTTCATGCTAAAAACTCTCAATAAATTAGGTATTGATGGGATGTATCTCAAAATAGTAAGGGCTATCTATGACAAACCCACAGCCAATATCATACTGAATGGGCAAAAACTGGAAGCATTCCCTTTGAAAATGGGCACAAGACAGGGATGCCCTCTCTCACCACTCCTATTCAACATAGTGTTGGAAGTTCTGGCCAGGGCAATTAGGCAGGAGAAGGAAATAAAGGGTATTCAATTAGGAAAAGAGGAAGTCAAATTGTCCCTGTTTGCAGACGACATGATTGTATATCTAGAAAACCCCATTGTCTCAGCCCAAAATCTCCTTAAGCTGATAAGCAACTTCAGCAAAGTCTCAGGATACAAAATCAATGTACAAGAATTGATATTGTTAAATGTCCAAACTACCCAAAGTGATCTACAGACTCAATGCAATCCCTATCAAAATTTCAATGATGTTTTTCACAGAAATAGAAAAAACAATCCTAAAATTCATATGGAACCACAAAAGACTCTGAATAGCCAAAACAATCTTGAGAAAGAATAAAGCTGCAGCCATCACACTTCCTGATTTCAAGTTATACCTAAAAGCTACAGTAATCAAAACAGTATGGTACTGGTATTAAAACAGGCACATAGATCAACAGAATAGAGAGCCCAGAAATAAACCCATGCATTTACATTTAATTGATTTTCAACAAAAGTGAGAAGAACACACAATGAGAAAAAAAGTCTCTGCCATAAATAGTGTTGGAAAAACTGGATATCCAGATGCAGAATAATGGAACTGAACTCTCACCTTACACCATATACAAAAATCAACTCAACATGGATTAAAGACTTAAATGTAAGAACTGAAACCATAAAACTCTTAGGAAAAAACGCAGAGAACAAGCTCCTTGACACTGGTCTTGCAAATGACTTTTTTTAATATGACACCAAAAGCACAGTCAACAAAAGCAAAAGGAAATATTTGAGAACTACATCAAACTAAAGAGCTTCTGCACAGTAAAGGAAATAATCAACAGAGTGAAAAGGCAATCTATAGCATGGGAGAAAATTTTGGCAAACTATGTAACTGTTAAGTAGTTAATATCCAAAATATTTAAGGAATTCACAGAACTCAGTAACAAAAAACAACACAATTTAAAGATGGGCAAAGAACCTAAATAGACATTTTTGTAAAGAAGACACACAGATGGCCAACAGGTATATAAAAAGGTACTCAACATCACTAATCAGCAGGAAAATGCAAATCAAAACTACAATGATATATTATCAATTCACACTTGTTAGGATAGCTGTCATCAAAAATTCAAAAGATAACAAGTGTTGGCGAGGGTGCAGAAAAAAGGCAATCCTTGTACACTCTTGGTGGAAATGTAACTTGATACAGCCATTATGAAAAACAGTATGGAAGTTCCTCAAAAAATTAAAAACAGAACTACTATATAATCTAACAATTCCACTTCTGGATGTATATCCAAAGGAAATGAAATTAGTATCTCAAAGAGATATCTGCATTTCCAGATTCATTGCAGTATTATTCACAATAGCCAAGAGGGCCAGGCACGGTGGCTCACACCTGTGATCCCAGCACTTTGGGAGGCTGAGGCAGGTGGATCACATGAGGTCAGGAGTTGGAGACCAGCCTGGCCAACATGGTGAAACCCCATCTCTACTAAAATACGAAATTAGCCAGGCATAGTGGCACATGCCTATAATCCCAGTTACTCGAGAGGCTGAGGCAGGAGAATCACTTGATCCCAGGAGGTGGAGGTTGCAGTGAGCCAAGACCACACCATTGCACTCACATTGTCTTGTTGCCACTGCCTGGGCAACAAGAGCGAAACTTCACAAAAAAAAAAAAAAAAAAAAAAAAATTCCAAGATACGTAAACAATGCAAGTGACAGATAAATGGACTAACAAATGTATCATAAAGAGATAACGGAATACTATTCAGACATTAAAAAGAAGTAAATCCTGCCATTTTTGACAACATGGATGAACCTAGAGGATGTTATGCTAAGTGAAATAAGTCAGACACAGAAAGAATGTGTGGGATCTTTACAAATCAAACTCATAGAAGCAGAGCGTAGAATAGTGGTTACCAGGGGTGAAGAGGTGGGAGAAATAAGGTGATGTCAGTCAAAGGGTACAAACTTTCAGTTACATAGAATGAGTAAATTCTAGAGATCTAATGTAGAGCATGAGGACTATAGTTAATAATACTGTGTTATACAGATGAAAATCACTTAGAAGGTAGATCTTAAGTGTTCTCACTACAAGAAAAAAATGGTAATTATGTGAAGAGATGGATATGTTAATTAGCTTGACTGAAATCAGGTCACTATGTATATGCATATTAAAATATCAGGTTGTACACCTTAAATATATATAATTTTTTTTAAAAAATACTTTTTTTGAAACAAGATCTCACTTTGTCACCCAGGCTGGAGTGCAGTGGCAGGATCTCAGCTCACTGCAACCTCCACCTCCCAGGTTCCAATGATTCTACTGCCTCAGCCTCCCAAGTAGCTGGGATTACAGGCATGCGCCACCACGCCTGGCTAATTTTTGTATTTATTTGGTAGAGACGGGGTTTCCCCATGTTGGCCAGGCTGGTCTCAAACTACTGACCTCAAGTGATCCGCCCGCCTCCGCCTCCCAAAGTGCCGGGATTACAGGTGTGAGCCACTGCATCTGGCCCTAATTAAAATTTTTTTAAGATAACAATAGAAATACAATATTCAACTGCAGTCAGAACTGTTAACAAAGATGAGACTGTCAAGAGAGTGTTCCAGAGGCAAATAAAGTCCAAAAGAAAATATTCCTCATATCTTTGGCCATCCTGAGCAAGTTGAAGGAGATCTAAAAGTTTAAAAATTTAGTTATATGGATATTGGGGGCCTGCCACCTCCTTTTATGAATTACTGACTTAAGTTATATACTATTTTATATTATTAAACTTTTATAATAGATCTGTGTAACAAGAATGGTTGAAAGACATGATGTGTTATAAGAAAACAATTCTGGGTGAATCAGAGCAATAGGCATTCTAAGTATTCCACACACAAGCACGTTAGATAAATTCATGTATTTGTAAAATCCTTAATCAAGGGTTTTCTTGGTAATGATAGACAAGACAGCACAAAGTTATATAAATACATCAGAACTGTGTGTTTTATCCACAATATATATTGAGCACTGAAGGAACCTTAGATATCATCTAGTTCAATTTTTTTCCCATGGATAAAGACATAAGACTCAAAAAAGGTGAAATGGCTTTTTTCTGTTCAAAAATAAATTAATGATTAACTCTGGATCAGTGCAACTATGAATAATTTTCTTTTTACCTTTTTTCTAGAATTATTCTATTATTTTCATAATGAGAATAGTAAGTTATTTTAGAAAAAAATAATATCCTTATCTTCCCTTAAAATTTATGCATTTATCTGAACCCGTTTGCCAGGTTGTGTTCAGTTCTCAGCTTCTAAAGCCTTCATCTCACCGAGCACAATAGTGTATGCCTGTAATCCCAGCACTTTGGGAGGCTGAGGTGAGGGAATCACTTGAGCCCAGGAGTTCAAGACCAGCCTGGGCAACACAGCAAGGCCTCATCTCTACTAAAAATGTAAAAATAAGCCAGGCATGGTGGTGCAAACCTATAGTCAGTCCCGCCTACTCAGGAGGCTGAGGTAGGAGGATTGTTTAAGCCCAGGAGTTCAAGGTTGCAATGAGCTATGATCATGCCACTGCACTCCAGCCTGGGCAACATGGCAAGATCCAGTCTCAAAAAAAAAAAAAAAAAAAAAAGATTAAAAATGTTAAAAGTCCTCATATCACCTCAACTCCTCAACTGAGATGTCTTAACTACTAAAAGTACAAGCTCAATGTCTCCTCAGAGTCTAAAGCCAATTGTAGGGGCTTTGGCAAAGAAGCTCATCCTTACTAATCTTACTAATTGTCCATATCCTAATACTGGTGAATGAAATCTATATTGATAATGTATCTAATAACACAGTATCTATAAGAATAGGAGTGTACTTTGCTCTTGAAAACTCCATGCCCCAAGAAAGTATAGACTAGGCTGCTAGAAACAATACAGGATGGCCAGTTAAATTTGCATTTCAAGTAAGTAACAAATTTTTGGTATAAGTATGTCCCAAATATTGGCTGTGACACATACTAAAAAATTCCTGATTACCTGAAATTCAGATTTAACTGGGCATCCTTTATTTTTATTTGCTAAATCTGGCAACTGTAGCCTGGACTCTAAACCTGAAGATTAGTCCTTTAACTGGTTCAAAAGATCTTCAGCAGATTACCAACTGCCTGCATGGATTTTTAAATGTTCTGTACTCCTGGATTTCCTGTTGTATTCCAACAGTCTGACAGCTCATGTATTAATTCAAATTGTAATATCCAATACTGGCTGCCTGTCCAGATTACAATCTGTTTACCTAATTATCTGTCTAATGCTTGTCAGAATGGATTTTCTTCTAGCTCCTGCAGTTGGAACAATGTCTCTAAGAACCATCCCAAACCACTGAACAGGCCTAGTTTTAAGGCCTTGTTATGAAGAAACTGACAGACTGGTCCTGGGGAAACTAGCATGAATAATAAAATCAAAACTAATTTTTAAATAAAGATATTATTTCAATGTATTTATTAACAACTATATAAAAAGTTCCCCCTTTTAAAAAAATACGATATCTTTATATAATAAAAATGAGAATAGTATTAACTTCATATGGTTGTTGTAAGGATTATTGAAATAACATATCAAAGCACTTAACAGTGACTGATTTGGTGTTGTTTTCCCAGCACTTTGTTTCCAAAATCATTTCCTTCTATATTGCCATTTATCCAAGGCTACTAAAATCCAACCAAGAGAAATCCATGTTCTTTTTCTATCAATTTTTTCATACTATTTAAACATTAAGCTTTGGTCCTTATGGCAAGAACCCTCACCATCTTTTTGACCAGCTTCTTCATTTCTTGAGCCCCTACTATTGCAGATGCATATGCATCACAGCCTCCATTTTTCTTTCTTCTGCCATTCCGTTTACCTTGAAGCCGGCTGTCTTACAGGATAAGACTGAGCACTCTAATTGGTTCTCAAGTCCTAAATATAATCAATACTAAGATATGATTCCTGTCTATTGTCAATTAAATCATTAATAACCCATAAGCAAAATCATAAATTCATAGCAATGAATATTGGCAGAAATTTCATTGTCATATTAAGAATCTTTTGAAGCATAATCACTGTGAAATTTACATATTTTTTAAGTTTTACATGCATGTTCTCTTAAGCTCTTTCATAAAACATAATTAATACTGCCATAGTTGTTATTTATAGAAATTTCCTAAATGTAATTCTGTCTGAGAAACAACGAAGTGAAGGAGGAGGGAAGAATGAAGAGGAAGACAGGAAAATGAGAAGGAATAGAAGAAGAAAGAAATTTTAAGTAGACTCACCTCCAACCACCCTGGCTTCTTCCAGTATTTGATTGAATAGAGTTAAAGACAGAATCTTGACTTCTCAGAGGACGAGAAACTGAATGTGGTATTTGCCTTTCAAGGGAATATGTCTTGTTAAATATTAATAGTTTGCTTTCAAATTGAGAAATTAAGATATACGTAGAAGAACAACATCAGTTAGTAACAGACACACATCCAATGGTTTATATTTCTCCACATACCCGGTGTCCACTGTTTTCATTACAGGAGCCAACTCTGGATTCACAGCTTCCCAGGCCCAATCTCAAAAGATATAAGTAACATAGATAAAAGTAAGATAGGTAGTATTTTTCAAAATGATAAATTCATACTTATTTAATTTGGAGGGTTTAAAAACTTGAAGAAGAAAAAACTTGAATATATGGATTTCTTCAACAGTACTTGTTGGAAAACCTGTCACAGCCTGCTTTATTAATTTTTATAGATGTCTTTCTTATCCATTGTATTTTAAGCAAAGATAATTTAATCTGTATCTTTTCTACAATCAGTTCTAGTATAGTATCTTTAACTTTGTAACATGAATTTCATCTAATCCAATGTTTACTGAACTTTTAAAATCTCACCCACAGAAAGAAATACATCATAACTCAGAACATATACATGCATGATATATGTGTGAGACAGAGATAGAGAGGAGAAAAAAGAATATAAAACTTCATCAAATCTTATCCTTAATATGTGTGATACACACTGACACAGTCATGTGTCACTTAATGACAGGGATACAGTCTAAGAAATGCATTGTTAGGTGAGTTTGTTGTGCAAACAACATAGAGTGTACTTACACAAAGCTGGAGAGTACAGCTTGCTACACACCTAGGCTATATGTTACAGCCTATTGTTCCTAGGCTACAAACTTGTGCAACATGTTACTGTACTCAATACCACAGGCAATTGTAACATAATAGTATTTGTGTATCTAAACATATCTAAACATAGAAAAGGTACAGTAAAAATATAATATAAAAGATAAAAACCAATACACCTAAGAGGGCACTTACCATAAATGGAGCTTGCAGGACTGAAAGTTGCTTTGGGTGAGTTAGTGATTAAGTGGTGAGTGAATACGAAGGCCTAGGACATTACTGTATACACTACTGTACACTAAACACACCATACATTTAGGCTACATTTATAAAAAAAAATAAACTGTGCTATGACATTATGACAGCTACTATGTCACCAGGAGACAGAAATGTTTCAGCTCCATTATATTTGTAATGGCACCACCATCACACAGGTGGTGTGATTGACCAAAACATGGTTATGCAGTGCATGGCTGTATTTTCTATTCTACTCTATTCTCTTCTATTTCTTTTTTCAAAGATCGATTATACCTCAGACTGATTAATGGATCAAGACAAACATTTTAAAAAAACACTGATCCTCTCCCTCTCCCTCTCCCTCTCCCTCTCCCTCTCCCTCTGCCTCTCCCTCTGCCTCTCCCTCTCCCTCTCCCCACGGTCTCCCTCTCCCTCTGTTTCCACGGTCTCCCTCTCATGCCAAGCCGAAGCTGGACTGTACTGCTGCCATCTCGGCTCACTGCAACCTCCCTGCCTGATTCTCCTGCCTCACCCTGCCGAGTGCCTGCGATTGCAGGCGCGCGCCGCCACGCCTGACTGGTTTTCGTATTTTTTTGGTGGAGACGGGTTTCGCTGTGTTGGCCGGGCTGGTCTCCAGCTCCTAACCGCGAGTGATCCGCCAGCCTCGGCCTCCGGAGGTGCCGGGATTGCAGACGGTGTCTGGTTCACTCAGTGCTCAATGGTGCCCAGGCTGGAGTGCAGTGGCGTGATCTCGGCTCGCTACAACCTCCACCTCCCAGCCGCCTGCCTTGGCCTCCCAAAGTGCCCAGAGTGCAGCCTCTGCCCGGCCGCCACCCCGTCTGGGAAGTGAGGAGCGTCTCTGCCTGGCCGCCCATCGTCTGGGATGTGAGGAGCCCCTCTGCCTGGCTGCCCAGTCTGGAAAGTGAGGAGTGTCTCTGCCCGGCCGCCGTCCCATCTAGGAAGTGAGAAGCGCCTCTTCCCGGCCGCCATCCCATCTAGGAAGTGAGGAGCGTCTCTGCCGGGCCGCCCATCGTCTGAGATGTGGGGAGCACCTTTGCCCCGCCGCCCCATCTGGGATGTGAGGAGCGCCTCTGCCCGGCCGCGACCCCGTCTGGGAGGTGAGGAGCGTCTCTGCCCAGCCGCCCCATCTGAGAAGGGAGGAGACCCTCCGCCCGGCAACCGCCCCGTCTGAGAAGTGAGGAGCCCCTCCGCCCGGCAGCCGCCCCGTCTGAGAAGTGAGGAGCCCCTCCGCCCGGCAGCCACCCCGTCTGGGAAGTGAGGAGCGTCTCCGCCCGGCAGCCACCCCGTCTGGGAGGGGGGTGGGGGGGGGTCAGCCCCCCACCCGGCCAGCCGCCCGGTCTGGGAGGTGAGGGGCGCCTCTGCCCAGCCGCCCCTACTGGGAAGTGAGGAGCCCCTCTGCCCGGCCAGCCGCTCCGTCCGGGAGGGAGGTGGGGGGGTCAGCCCCCAGCCCGGCCAGCCGCCCCGTCCGGGAGGGAGGTGGGGGGTCAGCCCCTCCACCCGGCAGCCACCCCGTCTGGGAAGTGAGGAGCGTCTCCGCCCGGCAGCCACCCCGTCCGGGAGGGAGGTGGGGGGGTCAGCCCCCCGCCCGGCCAGCCGCCTCGTCCAGGAGGTGAGGGGCGCCTCTGCCCGGCCGCCCCTACTGGGAAGTGAGGAGCCCCTCTGCCCGGCCACCACCCCGTCTGGGAGGTGTGCCCAACAGCTCATTGAGAACGGGCCATGATGACAATGGCGGTTTTGTGGAATAGAAAGCGGGGAAAGGTGGGGAAAAGATTGAGAAATCGGATGGTTGCCGTGTCAGTGTAGAAAGAAGTAGACATGGGAGACTTTTCATTTTGTTCTGTACTAAGAAAAATTCTTCTGCCTTGGGATCCTGTTGATCTGTGACCTTACCCCCCAACCCTGTGCTCTCTCAAACATGTGCTGTGTCCACTCAGGGTTAAATGGATTAAGGGCAGTGCAAGATGTGCTTTGTTAAACAGATGCTTGAAGGCAGCATGCTCGTTAAGAGTCATCACCACTCCCTAATCTCAAGTACCCAGGGACACAAACACTGCGGAAGGCCGCAGGGTCCTCTGCCTAGGAAAACCAGAGACCTTTGTTCACTTGTTTATCTGCTGACCTTCCCTCCACTATTGTCCTATGACCCTGCCAAATCCCCCTCTGTGAGAAACACCCAAGAATGATCAATAAAAATAAAAATTTAAAAAACAAAAAAAAACAACACTGATGCAGTCCTATCTCTTACCCAATACAGGAAAACTACTATTTCTGACAAATAGTAACCCTGGTCCGAGCTTGAAGTACTTCAGGAGGACACACATTTCCTTATGGAGTAGCTCAATTTTTCAAGGTCAACATTCATGCTACTTATAAAAATATTTTAAATGACGGAATGTTTTTTAAATGGTGGAGTATGACCAGATAAATGCCCAGTTGTGCATATCCATGTGAATTTATGATTTTTATACACAAAAATTGGAAATATATGAACTTCACACTTAAATTTCTTCAAATATATCTTTTATATATTTTGTTTTCTTTAAACAAAATACAGATTTAGAAGTATATTAAAGTCTATGGGAGCACACTAGATGAAATTAACAATACAAGTATTGCTACATCAGAGATATTTTTAAATTCTAGCTATATAAGATCCTATTAATTTTTAAAATGTGCCCCCAAAATGTAAATGTATATAACCAGCATGTACCACGTATACTTCAGAATGTCTGCCTGCCCATTCCTCTTCCAGAGGAAAGTAAAAAGTCAACAACAACCATTAAGACCTCCCAGCACCCACCAAACCTCAGCTAACTGGTTCAGAGGTAAGAGGCCTAACCCAAACCTAAGCCAGGATTTCAGTGGCCTTACTTAAAAGATGAGCTGAATCACAAGCTGTCTCTAGGATGTGAATTAAGAGATCCAGAGGGCAGTCTACTGGTGACCTCTGAGAACTAGAACTAAAAGGTTATGCAAACTCACAGGAAGGGCAACTTAGCTCATGTGCCAGTTGAAGCTGTAAGGAAGCCAACTGGATGAAGGTGTGTCTTAGTCCCTTTGGACTCTACTATAACAAAATACTTTAGAACGGGTTATTTACAAATATGATAAATGTATTTCTCAGTTTTGGAGGCTGGGAAGTCAAGGCTTCTTACTGTGTCCTCACATGACAGAAGGACGGAAAAGCTCCCTCATACCTTTTATAAAGTCACTAATCTCATTCATGAGGGCTCTGCCCTCATGACTTAATTACCTCCTGAAGGCCCCACATCTTAATACTATCACACCAGCAATTAAGTTTCAACATATAAATTGGGGGGGATCACATTTGGACCATAAACAGCTAACAAATCAATGAAGGCAAAAATGCCATAAAAAGAGAAAAAGACTACGGCCAGGCACCAGATACTTCCAGGCATCTGCACTTCCTAAAATCTATCTTTTTTTTCCCATTTTTCCTGTGTTCCCATGCACACTTATCCCCACTCCTGAGGCAATTCAAGTGTTTCCATTCTTTACCACCAAATGTATAGGCTATAACACAATATCCACGTGAATTTTGACAAAGAAAAAATATTTTTTACAATATATGTTACTACTTTATTAGAACAAAGACTCCAAATCTAAGATACTCCATTTAAATGCTAAGCCACCCTTGTAGATAAGGAAACTTAAACTCCTGACCTGGAATGTTCAGAAAGTGCTATGTAATTTCTATATGTGGATAATGGAAAGAAGAAAAAATAAACTTTCTATTTTCATTATAATATAAATTACAATTTTCTATAATCCTAGTTTTGTATTTCCTGAAAATTTTTACCTTATTAATTTTCTTACCTGTAGGTAGAGGAGGAAAATCATAATTGTCAGAAGGGGTACTGATACCTGAATCATCTTTAAGTGGATTAGAAGTTAATGGCTGTCTGTTCCTCTTTTTCTGATTGAACAACGGAACAGGCAAACAGCCTAAATTGAATGTACCAATAAATTAGTACATAATAGACAAATAAGCAGATCTAGTTGTAAAATAATTACTAGTATAATACACACTTTACATTTATCTACTTCTATATGCTAATATACTTATAGATTTCTATAACCTTAGAATGATTTTTACATTCTTTTTAAGATCCTGAATAGCCTAATTTGTTTCTTCAAAAAACTTTTCTTATTCTACTCTAACAGTTTTAATTCCTCCCATATGGAAGTAATTCCCATCTCCCCCCTCATCCCCCAACCTTTCCAAATCCACTTTTTGTTTTCCTTATCCCCCTCCTGTGCTTGCCTGTTACCATATCGACTGCAGGGGACCTTTGAAGTACAACAGAGGTGAGGAAGAACCAAACTCTGAACCATGCTTTGGACAATAGTGGCACACCCTTTTGGGCCTTGGTTCTCAAAGTTTCATTGGACTAAGATTTATCTGGAATTCTGCTTAATGTGCAGTTCCTAGACTCCACTCTCATAGATTTTATTTCAACAGATTTAGCCTGGAACTCAAAACTCTGCAATTTTAACAAGCACCTCGGGTATCTGTAATTATATATTTTGTGGATCATTTTGAGAATGCCTTAAAGAGTAATAATATCCAGTCCAAATGAGAATAAATACTACTACCGATTCCTCCAGATGGCGGATCTAGGATCTCAATTCAGGTCAAAAGTCACAAAATATAAACTTTGAAACTTAGGGAACTCGAAGGGAAAAGAAGTTCAAAAAGCTTGTGCATTGCTATAGAGCAAGTCAGTGGAAGAATCTAGATAGGACACAAGATTCCTAAATATCAGTTTGGATCTCTTGCCACTGTACCATTCTCTAACTGGTCATCATCAATTGTTCTACAGGCAAATACAGACTCTGTGAACAGTCTCTGATGAAAGGCTGGGAGAATTATGTGGGCTCTGGAATCAGACCGCCTAGGTCTTGAATTATGACTTCAAAGTAGGTTTGAATTACAATTTCAGAGTATGATCTTGGGCAATTTCCCTAAACTCTTTGTGCCAATATGACATATACTGATAGCATAATGATTAAGAGCATGGACTAAGAGCCAGATTCCTAGGTTCAAATTCTGATTCTGCTACTTCATGGATTACTTATTTAACCTCTTTTAGCCTTGTTTTTCTCATCTGAACAACAGAAATGATTATAATAACCTATCTCAGGGTATTGGTGTAAAGATTAAATAAATTAATATATATAATTAATGTCTTGAATACAGTTAATCCACCATAAATAATAGTTACTATTATCTTCATTATGCATCATCATTCCCCTGGTTCTCATCATCCTTGCCATCTGTCTTTATACTAATAAATTGGGAAAGCAAAAATGATAGGAGAAGCTATTAGAAAGACAGAAGTGCTTCCGGAAATATTTTTAACAAGTAAGTCACAAATACAAACAAAAATAGATCTATTTCTTTGTTTTCAGTTTTAAAGCATAGAATAACTCAAGCACATCGAATTTGTAGAAAGAATATCAAAATAAATCTAAGAAACTTTGATCTTACTCCCACCTCTACCACTAAATGTTTTGTCTTGAGTAAGTTATTTTACTTCCTTGGACCTAAAAAGTAAAGAGGCTAGATTAACTGTTCAATCTATTTTAAATTTATTTCCAATGTTATATCTATAAACTATACAAGCTTTATATGCTATACAGAAAATTTAAAAATAAAAAGTTGTTCAATACCTGCTGTACTTCGAGCTGAATTTTCATTTAGGCTTCGCTTCATTTCCTTCAATATCAAAATCTATAATTTTCTATTCAGCATTCCAAATTTATAATATGACATTGTCCCACTAGACCTGCAAAGAAAGAAACTTATAACTCGTATTGTCTCAACTATAAAACCCAATCCTCAGCCCAGTGATTACTGAAATTATGGTTGTAAACTACTTTCAAACCTGATCACGTAAACACTTTAGGGAGTCCTTTGCTTTCTAAGAGTTTACACCATAATCCACTTTTCCAACCCTGTTCAAATTAAGTTATGACTAGGGCAACTGTAACCTTGCTTCGTAAACATATGTGCATTTTTTCACACAGTATATGTAATTTATTTCAGAATCCCGCACCCACAAAGAGAATTCTGAACCACACCTACAAAGAGGAAAATGGACCACAGCGTTGGCAAACGTACATGCTTCCAAGGCCAAGGAGGAAACACAGTATTTAGCCACCGGGAACTTCCTCCATGCCCCACTTTAAGGCATTGTGCAGGACATCTGCCTTTGCATCAGTTTGAAATGCCTGGATTATATAATATCAAAGACTAAGTCTTCCTGAGGTCAGGAGTTCAAGACCAGCCTGGCCAACATGGCAAAAGCCCATCTCTACTAAAAATACAAAATTAGCCAGGAGTGGTGGCGGGCGCCTGTAATCCCAGCTACTCGGGAGGCCGAGGCAGGAGAATCGCTTGAGCCCGAGAGGCCGAGGTTGCAGTGAGCTGAGATCGTGCCACTGCACTCCAGCCTGGGCAACAAGACCCAGACTCCATCTCAAAAAAAAAAAAAAAAAAAAAAGACTAAGTCCTCCCTTCATATCTAGAATAATTGTAATGACAAGTTTCCACTCCATTTCCACAACTTCAACAAGTGAAACAAGTTTTTCCTTAGTTTTCTTCTTTTACAATAGAATTTCTCTTGTAATTTTGCACGTTTAGCCCCTTAACACATTTCATCCCCAATCTAATACAACGAACACTTGCCCACTGCAAGAAGAGGCAAGATACAAACCCAAACCAGGTAACTTCTGTTCCAAATTCACAACCCAATGAGACAGACAGACCGACACATACACAACTAAGCAATAATGCAAGTCAGGCCGAGGTGTTAACTTTCAAATATCGTTTGTAAAAATAAAACTTGGGAAACAGGCCGGGTGCAGTGGCTCACGCCTGTAATCCCAGCACTTTGGGAGGCCGAGACGGGCGGATCACGAGATCAGGAGATCAAGACCATCCTGGCTAACAGAGGGAAACCCCGTCTCTACTAAAAAATACAAAAAAATTAGCCGGGCGTGGTGGCAGGCACCTGTGGTCCCAGCTACTCGTGAGGCTGAGGCAGGAGAATGGCATGAACTCGGGAGGCGGAGGTTGCAGTGAGCGGAGATCGTGCCGCTGCACTCCAGCCTGGGCGACAGAGCGAGACTCCGTCTCAAAAAAAAAAGAAAAAAAAACAACTTGGGAAACACGAGGTCAGGTGCTGCCTCTGTTTTGTTTCCACATCTTAGGCTTGAAGCTGGGTAGAAGAGATGGACCCTTTAGAAAATATTCCTGGTGGCCAGGTGCAGTGGCTCATGCCTGTGATCCCAGCACTTCGGGAGGCCAAGGCAAGTGGGTCACCTGAGGTCGGGAGTTCAAGACCAGCCTGACCAACAACGTGAAACCCCGTCTCTACTAAAAATACAAAAATTAGCCGGGCATGGTGGTGCGTGCCTGTAATCCCAGCTACCCTGGAGGCTGAGACAGGAGAATCACTTGAACCCGGGAGGCGGAGGTTGCAGTGAGCCGAGATCACGCCACTGCACTCCAGCCTGGGCGACAGAGCGAGACTCTAGGGAAAAAATGGAGAGAGGGAGGAAGGGAGGGAGGGAAGGGAAGGAAGGAAGGAAGGGAAAGGAAAGGAAAGGAAAATATTCTTGGCGCCATCCTAGGAGCCACAACAGGGATTCTGCCACTTTCTCCACCGGCGCAACTCACATCCTATATTTAGAGGGGCTTACGAGGGCTATTATGTTTCTCAGGATCAAACAAACAGAATAAACAACAACAAAATTTTTAAGTGTAACATTCCACCCGCGGGACCATTGATCCTGAGGGCGGGGACCCTCATTTACCCCCAATCCCAGCTCCCAAATGGACCTAAGTGGCGTTAGTAATGGGGTTGGTGGCATTGGTGTGCAAAAAGTGTGCTCAATCTGCACGCACACACACACACACCACCCACAAAAACCACGGCCTCAAATGGCGGCCTGTTTTGGCTCCTGACCGCGGTGGGAGAGAAGAGGCTCCAGTCCGAGTTGAGACGCTCTTCCAAAGGCCTCTCCTGACCCGCCCACGGAGTGGGGGCAGTTTGGTATCAACGCACAGTCTTTCCCTTCTAGGCCCTCCTGCCAACACGACACACAACTTTCGCCCTCAGTTTCCCTCGCCTCCGTCAACCGTCGTCCAGGCGGCCCCGTCAGCAACCGCCGCCCTTCCCGCCCGCGAAGAAAGCGCGGGAATCAGGCTGTTCGCAGGCGCCGTGGACCGCGCAGGCGCAGTGGCCGCCACCTCGGCGCGATGGCATCTTCGCTGCCTGCCTGGCCGCCCTTGGCCGGGCGCGATGACGTTAACGCTCTTCCTTGGCGTTCTCACACTGTGGACCCAGGGATGGCTCCAGCTCCTTAGAGTTTTGCCCAGAGAGGAAAGGAGACTGTCCTGTGACTGGAGAGACAGAGGCAGATCTCCTGCCCAACCGGCCTCAGCCCCACCATCGTCTAAAAAGTGTGCCCCACTTCCCCTCACCCCCTGGCCCTTAGGGTCCAGACATCCGTTTGTTAGATGCTGGTGGCCACCCAGAGTGTGCCCAGAGATTGACTCGAAGGCCACCCGAGGTGTCTGGCTCAATTTCTGGGTCGGATCAGGGTCAGGGAATCTGAGTCCCCGGGAGGCTGGGGACAGAGCTGAAGCCCAGGTTCAGATGGCGGCCATGGAAGGCGGAGAGCCGTCAGCGAGGCAGCGCCGGGGCTGCGGGAGCTTGCGGGAGGGAAGCGCCCGTGAGCCGCAGAGACGCTCTGCAGGGGAAGCCGCGTGGTGTGCGACCCTGGGCGTTGAGCTCCAGGCTTCCTGGCAAAGAGGACTGTGGATTCCTGGCCCTGTGACCTTGGGCAAGTTACTTACTGAACACCCTCTGGACCTACCAGTAAAAGAACAATAACAACAATCGCCCTAAAAATACTAGAAGATGAAATAGACAATCCTGGCACACAGTAAATGCCCAGTAACTGTTAGCCCTTATTTAATTTGAGTAACAGTAGCTGCCATTTATCCGGAACTTACTATGGGCCAGGTAGTGGATTCTAGAGCTGTCTGAGTTCAAAGCCCATGTTTTGTTGTTACCGTATCTTCTAACCATTTGAAGACTGGGATAGGGAAGGGCTTAGAGATGAAAGGAAGATTGTTAGTAAAGGCCTAGGCCTATAAGACCACAGACATTTTAGTAGTTGCTTTAAAACTATCTCAAGTAAAGAAGAGTGTTAGAAAATAATATTAGATGTAGACTGAGACCAGATAATAGCAGACCTTGAATGCCAGAGTAAGGAACAGCTTTCAAGGAATAGGGCCATCTTTTATTTTGGGAAGAAGAAGACTTGAACAATAAAAATAAAACTTGTTATTTATCATGGTTCCAGAGAGGAGTTACCCAAAACATGAATAGAAGCTTCAGGGAAGCAGATTTTGACTTGATATCTACATACGGATGTGCATACATTTACAACACACACCCACCCACCCCAAAAATAGATTTTTCATTAAAAAAAAAAAAAAAAAACCACCTTAAGCCGATTACTTCTGTAGGGACTGCAGACATGAGCAATATAGAATATTTGCTAGCAGTTTATAAACTTAATCTGTTTTATACTTGTCTTTTTCTGCTTATTTATTTCCACCTGGAAAGTTGGTCAGGATGGATCACAGGGAAGGAGAAAACTAAAGTAGTAAAAGTAGTTTGATTACATAACTACTGAACATCACATTATGTATGAGACATCTTATGTATAATATTTAACAAAAAACCCTTCTTATCCCCCAGTCATACCATTTGGGAAACAACCCACCTTAAATTTGTCTCCTACAAAATTTCTGGCAGGGATCTACTGGACAGCCATGACTGTGAAGTAAAACTCTGCTCTCCTTTTGTTTTGTTTTGTTTTGTTTTTGAGACGGAGTTTCGCTCTTGTTCCCCAGGTTGGAGTGCAATGGCACAATCTCAGCTCACTGCAACCTCCGCCTTCTAGGTTCAAGTGATTCTCCTGCCTCAGCCTCCTGAGTAACTAGGATTACAGGCACCCGCCACCACGCCCAGGTAATTTTGTATTTTTAGTAGAGACGGGGTTTCACCATGTTGGCCAGGATGGTCTCGAACTCCTGACCTTAGGTGATCCGCCCACCTCGGCCTCCCAAAGTGCTGGGATTACAAGCATGAGACCACACCTGGCATCCTTTTGTTTTAAACTACATTATTTTATTAATACATCAGGCAACTCTATCCCACAAAACATTTGTAATGCTGGAAGTTATGCTTACTCTTTTAAGTACTTCAGAATATTATATATTCAACTTAATAATGAGATAGTGACAATTCGAAAGGGTTTCACTTCGTATACTATCAGTTCGCTGAGAACTAATAAAAAAGTGTGGTTTTTTGGGTCATCCCAAAAATCAAGTACACTTTGGGAAACAGGGAGTTAAAAATCTTTCGGAAGTTAACTTGGTATAAGAGTATGAAAAGCCTCTGTTGCTCTACTTCTGAGGAAATGCTCTCCTTTTTCCTAATAAAGCTTTCCACAGAAGACAAACTCTGTACACAAAAAACAAGGTAAGTATGGGAAATAATTGCTGCAATTCATTAACTCTCAAAAAAGTTATTCATTTTGACATGTAAGAGAAACTTTATTTATGAATGTGAAATGTGCTTCAAAGTGCTGATCTGTTAAAATTCCATAAAACAAGCTTCAAAATGCAAGTCATTTGTGCCAGCTACGAGTAAATAACTGAAGCAGCATTTCCAGAGAGACTAGGGCAAAGGACAGAACAAACTACAAATCAGCAGAAAAGAAACCAAGCATAGTAGAGTGTTAATAATTCACCATGGTTACTGCTCTTAAAACCAAAGCAACTAAACAACTGTCATCTGTTTACTTTTACGTGTGTTTTCATCATCTCTACACCGTCTGAAGTGTTCAGTGTACATGGATGTGGACAGACAGTCAAAGCCTACAGGAGCTTTTTTTTTCTATTAGAACAGTCATTTTAATGCATAGATTTGATGTGGTTATTTTGCTTTCTCTATCTCTGCATTATAAGCTCTTAAAGGAAGAACATTCAGTGGGTTTATTAAATATTAGGAAGCATTCATATTTTATTTTTCCACCATGTATTTGGTTTGTATGCATGTTTGTTTCCTGAGCACACTGTAATGGCTGTTTATGTGAATTCTGAAAGAGCAAAACTAGAACTGTGAAGAAGACCAAAAATAACAGAGAGGCACCCTATTGTCCTGTGAAAAACACTAGACTTGGGATGAGAAACATGGGTCTCAGGCCTAGGTTCTCCTACATCCCTGCAGAACCTTAACTGAGTTACTTAACCTCTCTTTCGTTTACCCCTGCAGTGGGGATGTCAACACCTAACCCACCCTATCGTATAAAATTAATGTATGAATAAACTGAGTGAAAGGACATTATAAATTAAACTCTGCAATTGTAATAAATTACTCTTATTGTACCCTCTATCAAACAACCTGGCGTTACTAGTACATGGTATTCCCAGTACTTGAACATATGTGACTTTCTGGGTGACTGAGCATGAAATCAAATCAGATTTGGCTCAGAGTCATTTCTCCAAAGGGATGTAATCATCTTAGTATTCTGGAAAATTTCCCCTAATAAGACCCCTTTTTGAGTAACACAGTCCAGTGGAGAGTCCCCGCTGACAGTGAATAAGGCTGTGTCTATGTAAGTTCACATGATGTGGTTAGCACATGCAGTGTGTCCCAAGACATTTTCAGGCATCACAAAAACTTGAAAAGTACTAACAGTTGTCTTTCCTTTGGTATTTAGGCAAAAAATGAGGAAGATTCATAAGTAAGTTAACACAGAATTACCAAAAACCTCATGAGAAAGAAATGAAGGGATGTTTCAGGGTAGCTTTTCGAGTCCCAAGTGATCATTGATTTGGCCCTTCTGTTTCTGATTGTGAAAAAGCATTCTGAAAGAATGGGCGCCGGTTCAAGAGGAGGTCTCTGAGGGTCAGCCTTTGGCTGTTTATAGAGGTGAGATTCAAATGCCCTCAGATCATGAAAAGTGCTTGAACTCATTTCAGAGAAGAAATGTTTTGAAATGCCCGTGGAAATACTGAGTGGGCCACTTTTTTATTTTGTGAAATTAGAAACGTATAAACTATTTTTATTATTACAGATAATTGTGAAAGCCTCACTGGATGACATCCTAGCTGAGGAAAAGAATGGAATTTTTGTATTAGTATGAAATGCTAATTTATTACTGTATTTAGATCTACTGACCATCTGAGGGAGTTAGAAGTTAAAGTAAACAGCTGTATCTCTAGTTGATCTTTGCATATTTTAATCCAAATATGGCAAAGGGCAGGGCTAAAGAAGGGAGTGTCCATAAACGGGGCTCAGAACTTGTAACAGAAAATTAAAATATACTCCACTCAAGGGAATTCTGTACTTTGCCCTTTGGGTAAAGTCTCATTTACATTTCTAAACCTTTCTTAAGAAAATCGAATTTCCTTTGATCTCTCTTCTGAATTGCAGAAATCAGATAAAAACTACTTGGTGAAATGACTTCTTGTCACATTGCTGAAGAACATATACAAAAGGTTGCTATCTTTGGAGGAACCCATGGGAATGAGCTAACCGGAGTATTTCTGGTTAAGCATTGGCTAGAGAATGGCGCTGAGATTCAGAGAACAGGGCTGGAGGTAAAACCATTTATTACTAACCCCAGAGCAGTGAAGAAGTGTACCAGATATATTGACTGTGACCTGAATCGCATTTTTGACCTTGAAAATCTTGGGTAAGACTATGCTTTGTATTGTATATGTATGTATGTTGTGTGAAAAGTGGTAGGTGTGTGAAAGAGAACACATATATGTATATGCAGATGATAATTCATGTCCGTACATGCAGTCGTATGTTGAATAAGATCACTTTCACTTTTAATTATACTGCATTGTGAATTGCACAATTATCTAAACTGGGCATTCACATGCTCTTTTATAAACCTTCTTAAGCACCAGATTATTAAGTTTTCTTTTCAAATGTATACAGACTGAGACAATAAATAGAAAAGGGTTTTGTTTTAAAATCATACCTTTAAAGAAACAGATTTAATACTCCTTTGCATTGAGTTAGTGTTTGGCCACTATGCTTGCATATAAAATTGTTAGCTTTTTAGGAAATTCACTACGTTTTCAAGCAACTATGCTTACGGTAATGCATAAAGTTCTAGTTCAAAAAATGTAATGTTTCAAGTAATATTTGTTGAATGAAAGCGTGATTAAATATCTTTTGTCAGAAGACATCAGACACTTTGGGAGGCCGAGGCAGGCGGATCACGAGGTCAGGAGATCGAGACCATCCTGGCTAATGCAGTGAAACCCCATCTCTACTAAAAATACAAAAAATTAGCCGGGCGTAGTGGCGGGTGCCTGTAGTCCCAGCTACTTGGGAGGCTGAGGCAGGAGAATGGCGTGAACCCGGGAGGCGGAGCTTGCAGTGAGCCAAGATTGTGCCACTGCACTCCAGCCTGGGAGACAGAGCAAGACTCCGTCTCAAAAAAATAAATAAATAAATAAAAATAAAGACATCAGACCTCCCTGTGATCCGAAGTAGCAGACGTACTTAACTTCCATGGTGGATTGTTGTAGATGGGATACCAGAGATGAGAACTAAAGACACCATCTGAATTTTCAGAGCTTATATTTTGCTGATTTGTAATATATTGCATACAACGTAAGCAGTCATAACATGCTAGGTTAGGTCCTTATTAATTATTTTTGCCTTCGTTTACATCATAATAGCTACCACTGTGGATATAATATGACTCCACATATTTGCTTTTTACCACTTCTTTCTTTCTTTCTCTTTTTGAGATGGAGTTTCGCTCTTGTTGCCCAGTCTGGAGTGCAATGGTGCAATCTCAGCTCACTGCAGCCTCCACCTCCGGGTTAAAGTGATTCTCCTGCCTCAACCTCCCGAGTAGCTGGGATTACAGGCACTTGCCACCATGTCCGGGTAATTTTTTGTATTTTTAGTAGAGACGGGGTTTCTCCATGTTGGCCAGGCTGGTCTCAAACTCCTGGCCTCAGGTGATCTGCCTGCCTCAGCCTCCCAAAGTGCTGGGATTATAGGCATGAGCCACCGCGCTGGGCCGCTTTTTTTCTTTTACTAAAAAATATTCTGAAACATCTGTTTTTCTCAGGAAACTGTGCCAGGTACTGGGGGAGTACACAGCTCTATACAACTTGGTTTCTACCCCTCAAGGAGTTGGTAGACTACTAGCTAAGATATAAGATACATGGCCGGGCACAGTGGCTCACACCTGTAATCCCAACACTTTGGGAGGCTGAGGCAGGCAGATCATGAGGTCAGGAGATCAAGACCATCCTGGCTAACACGGTAAAACCCCGTCTCTACTAAAAAAAATACAAAAAATTAGCCGGGCATGGTGGCGGGCACCTGTAGTCCCAGCTATTCGGGAGACTGAGGCAGGAGAATGGCGTGAACCTGGGAGGCGGAGCTTGCAGTGAGCAGAGATGGTGCCACTGCACTCCAGCCTGGGTGACAGAGCGAGACTCCGTCTCAAAAAAAAAAATATATATATATATAAGATATGCACAGGCACAACTAGCCACTGTTCTATGTGCTTGTTTTCTGATCAACTCTAATTTGAGTTAGATCACTCCTTAGGTTTAGTCTCAACACAGATCAAAACATGGACACTACTCTTAATAGAAACATGCCTCACTTTATGGAATAGATGTTTTTCAGGGCAATTATACTGCAGTCATCCTGTTTGTATCAAATCATATTTTTACTAGCATAAATTTTAATTTGAGAAATGCTTTATCTTCATGACTGAGGTTATGTCAACACAATTCATGCTTATCTATTGACCTAAGAGAGCTGTTAACTAACTTCTATATTACAAGTAAGAATTTGTTGAAGGATAACTTTTAGTCGGCATATTAACTTCCCAAATAGGTGTGAAATGGACTGGGGTGAGTTTATGAGCACCCAGTAGTATGCATTTCAGTGAGCACAGTCTTTTCACTTAAATTCACTTTCTGCTCCTTACTGTTAACACTGTTCAGAGACTAGACTGTTCCCAGCGTGGTTGAAAAATTATAAAATAGATAAACTAATTAACTTCTCCCATCCTGCCTCTCCCAAATTTATTCATTTTCCTATATTCCTCATCTCAGTGGTGGCATCATTATCCACCAAGTCCCCTGTGAAAATCACCCTAGAACCTTCCCAGTCCTTTGTCTCCCACGTCTAGTGGGTCACTAAGTCCTCCCAATTATTCCTTGCAAGTACTTCACAAATCCAGCCTTCCTCTCCAGTTTTACTACCTTAGTTGATTTCCTCTGTGGACAGTTAGAATAGCCTCCTAAAGGGTCTCTCTGCATCCAGACTTGCTCTGACCCTTCCTGTCATCTATTTTCCATCTGATACCTCTAGGAATCATCCTAATATGCAAATCTTATCATGTCTCTCCCCTGCTGAAAATTCTTTAAAAATGTATCCAGAATAGATTTAATCAACTTAGTATGGCTAATGCCCTTCAGAATCTCACTCTTCCCTATTCTTCATCCCTTGGGACTCTTCCAATGGGAGCTCAACTGCAGGCATGAGAACTCAAAAGTGTCCATCTTTTTGAAAACTTCCAGACTTGACTCTGAGCAACTGGGTAGATACTAGCACCATTTACTCAAATGCGGAAGAATGATATAGAACCAAAATTGTCGGGCGCGACCTCAGGGGGTTATTTCATGAATTAACTTTTAAAATGTATAAATATCCATTAGGCTTGGTTTGCATACAATAGGAACCTAAGAATAGTGGTTTAAACAAATAAGGGTTTCTTGTTCACAAATAATAAGTCCAGAAGTAGGCTGTCCAGGGCTGATGGAGCGGCCACATGATATCATCAATGCCACAGGCTCCTTCTACCTTCCCACAGCACTGTCTCAACATGGCCCCTTCCACCTTCCCACTGCACCATCTCAACGTGGCCCTTTCCACCTTCCCCCTGCACCGACTCGACGTGGTCCCTTCTACCTTCCCAGTGCACTATCTCAAGATGCCGGCTTTGTCCTCATGGTTTTTGCTTCAAAGTCACAAAATAACTACTCCACCTTCCTGATCTCATTCCAGGCAGGAATTAGCCCATTGTACACAGTAGGTCCCTTGAAGATACTAGCAAAAATAACCAAGGAATACAAATAGATGGAATTTTAGGAAAATGTGGTTGAACGGTTTAATGAGGAAAAGTAAATGAAAAACATTATTATATCTAGAAAAAAAATGTATCTTAACCATTGTGGGAAGTGGGGAGAGGGTAGAGGCCCATTTGAGAATGGAAGAAAAACTACTGGCCCTTGTGCCAGAAAAAAAATACATATATCTGTACCTGCAAACTTGTGGCCTTTTTGGAGAGGTTAGACTCTGAAAACTCTGTCCCTGGACCTCTAGTGGTTCCTGGACCTCAATTAAGAATCTCTAATTAGGCCAGGTGTGGCTGCTCATACTTGTAATTCCAGCACTTTGGGAGGCCAAGGCAGGAGGATTGCCTGAGGCCAAGACTTCTGTAACCACCCAGCAAGTTCTCCTCATCCGCTGCCCAGACAGAGCTGATTTATCAAGACAAGGGAACTGCAATAAAGAGTTTAATTCACACAGAGCCGGCTGTACAGAAGGCCAGAGTTTTATTATTACTCAAATCAGTCTCCCCGAAAATTCAGACACTGGAATTTTTAAGGATAATTTGGTGGGTAGGGGGCCAGTGAGTCGGGAGTGCTGATTGATCAGATTGAAGGTAAAATCATAGGGAGTTGGAGCTGTCCTCTTGCGCTGAATCAGTTCCTACGTGGGGACCACGAGACCAGATAAGCCAGTTTATCCATCTGGGTGGTGCCAGCTGATCTGTCAACTCAGGGTTTACAAAATATCTCAAGCCCTGATCTTAGGTTTTACAATAGTGATGTTATCCCCAGGAGCAATTTCAGGAGGTTCAGAATCTTGCGGCCCTCCAGCTGCATGACTCCTAAACCATAATTTCTCATCTTGTGGCTAATTTGTTAGTCCTGCAAAGGCAGTCTAGTCCCCAGGTAGGAAGGGGGCTTGTTTTGGGAAAGGGCTGTTATCATCTTTGTTTCAAAGTTAAGCTGTAAGTTCCTCCCAAAGTTAGTTCAGTTTACACCCAGGCATGAACAAGGATAGCTTGGAGATTAGAAGCAAGATGGAGTCAGGTTAGATCTCTTTCATTGTAATAATTGTCTCAGTTATAATTTTTGCAAAGGCAGTTTTAGTTCAAGACCAGCCTGGGCAACAGAGCAAGACTGTATCTCCACAAAAGATAAGAAGATTAGCTGGGCATGGTGGCACGCACCTGTAGTTTCAGCAGCTACTCAGGAGGCTGAGATGGGAAGATTGCTTGAGCCCAGGAGTTTGAGGGTACAGTGATCCATAATTGGGCCACTGCACTCCAGCCTGGGCAACAGAGCAGAATCCTGTCTCAAAAAATTAAAAATTAAAATGATCTCTAATTAGATTATGTGAGCCCCTAAGTGACTATATTTGTGCACTAGAATTAGCTAAAGTGGGGGAAAAAAAGATGCATTTGATGGTCTAGTCCCATAATAAATAACCCAGTGTACCATAACTACTAAGAAACTGTTCATTAAATTAATGGATATGTTGCGTTCAAGATTGAAATCAAATGATAAATTCTGTTTGATATGTCCTATTCATGACCAGCCACATAAATGCACGTATTACTTCGCAAGCATGCCAATGCAACATTAGTTATATGGAATCAAATGAAGAAAAAGAATGTAAGTTTTCATATATAAACATTTCAGGTAAGTTTTTACTTACCACACAGATTTTTCATATTAAAGATTTGGCGACTGGTTCTTTTTACACTGTGTTCTTATTATATGTTTATATTATCTCAGGCACAGATGTTGTTCATCTTTTTCTTTCTGCTTATAACAGCAAAAAAATGTCAGAAGATTTGCCATATGAAGTGAGAAGGGCTCAAGAAATAAATCATTTATTTGGTCCAAAAGACAGTGAAGATTCCTATGACATTATTTTTGACCTTCACAACACCACCTCTAACATGGGGTGCACTCTTATTCTTGAGGATTCCAGGAATAACTTTTTAATTCAGATGTTTCATTACATTAAGGTAATGTTAATGTTATTAATTTATAAGTTAGCAAAGGACTTGTACTTTTAAGTCAATTATGGATGTGAGACAATCAGAAAACAGTTATGAGGGAAGGTGCAAGAGAAATGGGGTTTATTCCATAGCCAGGCTTGGTGGTTGGGGGGAAAGGGTGCTACCAGAACACAGAGGCAGTGGTGAGAGGAAGGAGAAAAAGAGAGGAAATAAGTAAAATAATAAACACAATTAATAAAGTAATAAAACACTTGTGGATTCTTGTGTCTATAAAATTACACGTTTTATCCAGACAGCCACCAGATGGTGGGGTATTTGTTAAAACCAAGTAAAATTAATATTAAAAGTTTAAATGGTATGGTCAATTTGTTAAAACCAAGTAAAATTAATATTAAAACTTTAAATGGTATGGGATCTCAATTACAAGGTTTTAGGAAACTTAAGAAATAGTCCTTTAACGTAGACTAAAGCCCAGTGATAAAAAGATTGCCTCCCTTTAGTCCTGCCCTCGTCCCCATTTGATTTAGACACCCCAGAATACGTCTAATCTTTCAGTACTTCATAATCATTTTAAGGCTCAGAAATCTCAGAGAAAATTTGCTAGAAAATAGCAACCAACCAGAAACACACATAAGGAACTGTATGCTTATTTCTGTGTACTAGATAGCCTTCCTTCCTGAGAGCAAGGATGATTGAGAGGAAAGAGTGTGGCCTGTGCTCAGATCCTGACTTTCTCCTTCACTAACCTTAGACAAAACACACCATTCCCAAAACCTTGCCTCCTTCATTTTATAAAATTGGTGTCATAACAAACAACACTTACCCATAAGGGTACTCAAAGCCTTAAATGACATAAAGTATTTAAAACATTTAGCCTCATACCTGGCCTATAGTAAAGATTATTATTTTTGTTTCCCTTCAGTTTTGGACAGTAACTGGGTAGTGGTCCTGGTAGGAGATCATAATGTAGCGATTCTTTTTTTTTTTAATTTTTTTTAAATTTTATTACTATTATACTTTAAGTTTTAGGGTACATGTGCACCATGTGCAGGTTTGTTACATATGTATACATGTGCCATGTTGGTGTGCCGCACCCATTAACTCGTCATTTAGCATTAGGTATATCTCCTAATGCTATCCCTCCCCCCTCCCCCCACCCCAATTCTTCATTGCCTATTGAAGAGAGAGCGGAATGCTTTGGTTGCCAGATATGGAAGCAGAATTGCTGACACTTTGTTATCCAAACCAAGAGGCCTGTCTTCAATTTTCATGCAGATAAGCAGGAGGAGGGGGAATCACCCAACATCTGTAGAGAGCTGGACCACAGGAATAGAAACAGAATTGTTTAAGAGACCAATACCAAGCTAAATAGTTAGTGTAACCAGTGATGAAACAAAAATCACCACATCCATTAAGAAAGAACATTTATTTCATGTTTTTTGATCATGGTTCTGGAGAACTATTTAATGTATATTTTACCTGGAAAGACACTGTATAATTCAATTGTATATGAATTTCATATTGTATAATTTATTTGTATGTTTTCAAAGCTATAATACCATTGGGTTTTAAAGTATTTCATAAAGCTGTCTTACCAATCTTAGTTGATGAAGTAAAACGTATTGAAGGTATTATTGACTCTGTTGAAGCAAAGAGAACAAAACATACGGTTTTTACCTAAGAAAGACGTTTTTGATTTTTTTCAGACTTCTCTGGCTCCACTACCCTGCTACGTTTATCTGATTGAGCATCCTTCCCTCAAATATGCGACCACTCGTTCCATAGCCAAGTATCCTGTGGGTAAGTCATAGTTCCCACTGTCATAACTCAATAAAATATGTCCTAGCTGAAACTCAGAGAAATTTATTTTTTATCTTATTTTATTTTTGAGACAGAGTCTTGCTCTGTCACCCAGGCTGGAGTCCGATGGTGTGATCTCAGCTCACTGCAACCTCTACCTCTCTGGTTCAAGTGATTCTCCTGCCTCAAGCTCCCTAGTAGCTGGGATTACAGGCATGTGCCACCCTGTAATTTTTGTATTTTTAGTACAGACGGAGTTTCACCATGTTAGCCAGGGCTGGCCTCAAACTCCTGACCTCAGGTGATGCACCTGCCTCAGCCTCCCAAAGTGCTGGGATTACAGGCATGAGTCACTGCCTGGCCGAGAAAATTATTTTTAAAAAAACATTTACAGCTACCTTCCATATCCTTAGGCTTATAATTGTCAAGTAACAAGCAATTTAGCTCCAGGCAGGCTCTAATTGTACCGAATTTCCCCAATTTCACTGAGCAGCTTTCTGGTTTTGTTCATGTTCCCTTTGCTGTAATGCTTGGCCCTTCTATTTAGTCTGGCACAATTCTTCTCATTCTCAAGATTCAGTTCACCTGTCACCTCCTATAGAACTTTCCCTGACCCTCCTCTATAGCATTAATTACTCCAGAAATGTGTACATTTGACTAATATTTATAGTGTGCCTACCAGAGACCAACCCTGTGCTAGGTGCGGGGGACAGAACAATGAGCAAGACACACAGTCTCCCCTCAAACAGCTTCGTATGTGATGAGAAAACAGACAGGTAACCAGGTAATCACTGCACAGAGTGATAAATGCTAAATAGGGGCAATTACAGGAGACTGGAAGAGCAGGAAAGACCTAACCCAGTCTTGATGGATCACAGAAGGCCCAAAGAAGTGGGATCCATCTTGAGGTTGTGTATGTGTATGTGTTTGGGGGAGGAAAGGAAAAAAATTGAGAGCAGTCAACAGGATTCTAGACAAGTGTCTTGAAATTATCTGTGATGAAAGGCCATTGCTGATTTCCAATCTGCTATAGAGCAATACTTTTGTAAAATGTAATTTAAAAATGGATTTCTAGAAAAACGATCACATACTTGAATATTTTAGCAATGTCAAATTGCTATAAAAGTTTCTAAACACTTACTTTAATTTCTGTACATATCTCGCCTGGGACCAGCAGCAGACAATTGGTGGACCAGTCCCTGTCCTCAGACAATACTTTGAGGAAAAAGGAATATCATATACAAGGGCCCCAAACCCCTAACTGATGACATGCCATACTTGATACACTGTGTTCTCCATTTATCTTAGCACTCTCTGTTCCCTATCCCCTTCTGCAGGCTGATAATGTATGCTTACTAAATATTAGCTCAAATTACCAGTAAGTACACAATTCTAACTTATAAATGATCATCATTCACAGTAGGGTTTTGTTTTGTTTTTTTTCTGGAAAAGGGTCTCACTCTGTTGCCCAGGCTGAGTGTAGTGGCACGATCACAGTTCACTGCAGCCTTGACCTCCTGGGCTCAGGCAATCCTCCCATCTCAGCCTCCCAAGTAGCTTGAACTACAGGCACGTGCCACCACATTCAGCTAATTTTTTATTTTTTGTAGAGACAGGATCTCAGTATGATCAGGTCTCAAACTCCTGATTCAAGCGATCCTCCCACCTTGGCCTCCCAAAGTGCTGGGATTACAAGCGTGAGCCACCACACCTGTACCTCATTCACAGTTTTAATCACACCTATCCCACACAGACTTATACAAACTTATCCATTCCTTCCCATGCAGGTTCTATAACTATAACCATATATAAAATACTAGCCAACCAGGAGAATCGCTTGAACCCCGGAGGTGGAGGTTGCAGTGAGCCGAGATCATGCCATTGCACTCCAGCCGGGGCAACAAAAGTGAAACTCCGTCTCAAAAAAACAAACAAACAAAAATACTAGCCATCTAACACTGGAAATACATACATTCATGAGCTTGTCCGGAGTGATCAGATTTGACTGGATCAGAAAGGCAAGGGATCTGTTTCTCCAAAGTGCTTGTGCTACCAGTGACCTACTCCAGGTTGTTTTCTGACCCTCTCCTTATCAAGACCTGTCAAAGATCTGAGAAATTTTACCCGACTTACAAGCTAACCATTAGCCTAGCACCTCTGAGTGGATGCCAGTAGAAGACACAAGACTCCTAAAACAGAGACAAAGAATAGATTATTGACAGTAGTAATAGCAGAGTGTCAGCATTTCTGCACCATTACCCAAGCTCCAGTTCCCACAGGGTGACATAGAGAGAGCCAGATGGCAGCTATCCATGCCAGTGGTTGCATTCTAGGAGGGAACCTTTTTTTTTTTTTTTGAGACGGAGTTTCGCTCTTGTTGCCAAGGCTGGAGTACAGTGGCACAATCTCGGCTCACTGCAACCTCCGCCTCCTGGGTTTAAGCAATTCTCCTGCCTCAGCCTCCTGAGTAGCTGGGATTACAGGTGCCCACCACCATACCCAGCAAATTTTTTGCATTTTTAGTAGAGACAGGGTTTCATCATGTTGGCCAGGCTGGTTTCGAACTTCTGACCTCAGGTGATCCACCCGCCTCGGCCTCCCAAAGTGCTGGGATTACAGGCGTGAGCCACCGCACCCGGCTGTGAACCTTCATTTTTATAATGGGCAGTAGGCACGAGTGCCCTTTGCTCCAGGGAAGACCCCATTCCTAACTTCCAAGGCTGTTCACTATACAGACATCCTTGAAAAGATCATCTGGAACAAAAATAGTCCGTGTCTTGCTCATGAGACTTGCAGATATGCAGAAGATCCATGAAGAATCCTCTCTCCACATCCCTCTTACCACCTGCTTTGCAATAGACATTTCACGAGCTGTTTGTCATCTATTCACTTGTTTATCCTGCCAGTTACTAGGCTGTGACTTCATCTTTACCTTCTGGTAACTTCCAACATGCAGCCCCACACTCTCACACACCCTCTCAAACACCCTCTTTCTTCTCTAGTCCATTCTCTTTCTTGAGCGCCTCATTAGCATAATTAATTATCTGCAGACTACACTACAATTAAAATTACAACTTAAAATATTTTTTGTTAAATCTCAGATGGTTTAGCCAGGAGTAATGTAATTTAAAAGCAGGTTGGCAAACAATATAAATAAATTAAAATCTAAAATTATTCTGGAAATTCAAGTAGTGATACTTTTGTGCATAATAAAAGGATCTTTATATGCCATCTTTGGTGGCCCTATTGTCCAAACCAAAAATTAATTTTTCGATACAAGATCTCATATCAGAGCAGAATATTTAGATTGTAGGACATGGCTATGGCAGAGTCAGGGGTGGCGTTGAATGAATAATAATTACACAAATAACTTTCCTAAGTCTCAAATGAGACCACGGTTAATCTGAGAAAGTTAGGAGAGGGCTGTGTCCAGTCGCTTTCCCATATTTGTGTGTGTGTGTGTGTTTATGTGTGTGTGTGCGTGTGTGTGTGTGATCATAAGAGTGGCTGCAGCAAACTGCTTCTTTCTAGGATAAGGTTTGCCTAGAATGATCCTGTCACATTTCTTCTTCCTTGAGAACAGAGTACAAAGGTGGTCCTTGTAGGTGCCTACTAGAAGTTAAAGCAAAATTTGTATGCAGCAATATTCTTAGTGTATTATAAAATGTTGACTCAGAAAGATTGTCTCTCTAATGTTAAACATGCTTTTTTCCCAGTGAGTGCATGATATAAAATATTCCAAATAAAACAGCAAAGTTGGAAGGAGAACATATAACATTTCTAATTATTTACAATGAGCTTAATACTCCCTCATATTGAAATATTTTAAAGATTTGGCTCAACTTGTAAGGGCCAAACATATCAGCAATGTTTGTTCTGGCTAAGAGTAGCATTGCCTACAAATATCATAGCCTAAGATTGATATTTGAGAGTTTGGAAATCTTAAGCTTTTATTTGGTGTCACAGAGAAACAGGATCTGTATCTCTTATTGCTAAGCCTTTGATTTGTTTCAGCTAATTGCCTGTATTTGGATATTTAGCTTACTCTAATTCCTTACTTCAAGTATTGATACTTTTGTGCATAATAAAGATTCCTTCATTCTTAAATCATTGACTAGGGGATTATTATGATTGACTTAAACTATTCAACATTTACTCTTGAAATGGAGAGAAATTTACCTACCTTGAAGATTGGAAGCCCAACTAATATCAGGATTCTATTAGAAACAGGAGGAAAGTGAAATGGATTTGGGGTAGGCAAACGACAATGTATTCTATAGTATTCCTACAGACATATCTACAAACACACTTTTTCACATATTTGTGTAAGTCATTTATGCACAGATGCATACCTTAGCCACATTTATGACACCATATACTTAAATATATGTTCATACATATATGCAAGAAACCTAAGCACAACAAATAAAAAATGATGCAAGAGAATAAGATAAGATTTTGTGTATTGGGAAATAACAGAAGCGGGTGAAAACAAGATGAGTGTAAAAGAATGCAGTATGTTAATGGGATGGAAGAGAATGAGGGTAGTGCAGTTGGGGTAAATGGTTTGCCAAATAGAGAAGGTGATGACTGGGGAGATGACTTTGTGGGAGACTTGAACAGGAAGGAAGGGTCTACAAAAGTAGTTTAAAGAAAGAGTATTTTGTAGATGTAAGGATGGATGCTTAACAGCCACACAAAGTAGACCTAATAGTACAGGCATCATTTCATATGAGTTAGAAGAAATGAACACAAGTTTTTTCCTGCATAAAATTAAAACCAGGCCAAGCACGACGGCTCACGCCTGTAATCCCAGCATTTGGGGAAGCCGAGAAGGGCAGATTACCTGCGGTCAGGAGTTTGAGACCAGCCTGACCAACATGGTGAAACCCTGCCTCTACTAAAAATATAAAAATAAGCCAGGAATGGTGGCCCGTGCCTGTAATCCCAGCTACTCGGGAGGCTGAGGCAGAAGAATCGCTTGAACCTGGGAGGCAGAGGTTGCAGTGAGCAGAAATCACACCACTGTACTCCAGCCTGGGTGACAGAGTGAGACTCTGTCTCGAAAAAATAAATAAATAAATAAAACCATTGCACTATTGTGTTAGGATGGATTGCTAGGTTAAGGGCAAAATCATTGCTCAAGGGTCACATAGATTGTCATATTGACTGAAATCCATGATTCATCTAGTCTGGATTTCTGTGAAATCTATAAAAATAGATGTCCTTCCTCCCGTCACAGCTAAATGTTAGATCTTAACAGTTTCTCTTCAGGTCCACCTATTATTTTGTCAGCATAAACTTGTTCACCTTTTTTACTATGTTATGACTTTTAAATATTTTAGCAATACTGAAGGAAATTTAAAGAAAAAAGACCACAAGAGTTTCCTATTTCTAACACCACTGATTTTTTCCATGTTCTTTCCCAGTCTTTATTCACTATGCATCTAACTTAAACATGTAAATGTTCTGCTTCACGTTTTGCCAAACATTATGTCTCAAATATTTTCCATGATGCTACATGGTTTACCTTTTTAATAATTTTAACAACATAATTCTAAATCTTGATACATTAAAATGCTTAGTTTTATAATATATTTTCATACTTATATAAATGTGACTATCTCTCCTTCTGTACCTAGGTATAGAAGTTGGTCCTCAGCCTCAAGGGGTTCTGAGAGCTGATATCTTGGATCAAATGAGAAAAATGATTAAACATGCTCTTGATTTTATACATCATTTCAATGAAGGTAAGTAATAATGAAGGTAACGTTATCAAACTTAACCACCAAACATTTAAATAACAATTGGAACCTGGGTCAGATTTGCCATGCTAAAGATATGAAGTGCTTTTTAAAATTTTTATTCACTTCAGCTATTCCCCAATGGCCAGGATAGACACATTCAAGAAAAGCAGCTGCCAAATAAAGACTCCACATTAAATCCTTATTTCCTGCTAATCTCCATTTTAAAAAGAAAAGACGAGAAAATACAAATGCCCAGTAAACATATGAAAAGATGTTCAACATCACTAGTAATTAGAGAAATGCAAATTAAAATAAGAAGTCACTTCCCCCATTAAGTTGGGAAAATATTAAAGTCTGCAAATATCAAGCGTTGGTAAATGTGTAGGAAAAGGGGAAACTCTCATTACCTGCTGGTGAACATATAAGTGAACATATAAGTTGGTAAAGACATTTTAGAGGATAATCTTACAGCATCCACTTCTTAAAACACACCAATCTTATTACCCAGCGATTCCACATCTCAAAGAAACACAAGCACAAGCAACATGTTGTTTACAAAGATTGTTATCGTGCATCATTTATAACAGCAAAAGAATGGAAACAGCATGAATGTCCACCTGTTGGTGGAGAGTTAAATAAACTAACATGGAAGAATCTTCAAAACACAATGGTAATTAGCAGAAAGCAAGTTGCAGACCAAGACATTCAGTACACCAATTGGCTTTAAAATAACAATAATAATCATCACCTTCTAGGATACATATATATGTTAACACATCACAGGGAAAGTCCTAGAAGAAAACACACCAAACTGATAACAATAGTTACCGGGGACGGGAGGCAAAACCCAGGCTAATTTTGTCTTAATTATATTCAATAAGAATAATGTATTTATGTATTATTTCTGTAATTAAAAATTAATTAAACGGGGACTGGTGGACAAGGTGGGTATATGCAGCTCTATGCACTATCTGCTCATTTATTTGGTAAATCTAAAACTGCACTAAAAAGTCTATTAGTTATAAAAAAAGTTTACTTTAAAATGGAAAATAGTTGCTTAAAATCAAAGAGACATTCTATGTAAACAATTATTCCAACAGACTGAGTTGAAATTGTTGTTGAGGAATGGGCAATTATAATAACAGAGGGGGTGTGTACTTCGGTGTCTGTGGGGAGTGAATTCCTCAACCTCAGATCGTGCGCACCCCACTGCAATCACAGACATTCGTTTTGTGCTTGGGAATCCTTTGACTCCAAAATCATGAAAACTGAAAATTTGCTTTTTACCATCTTTGTCTGAGGGCAGGTTCTATACTGTCTAATGGAACTGGTTTTGAGAAGATCACAACATACTTACAATAAACCCTCTGAATAGGAAGTGTGGGACTACAATATATTAAGAAGTGATACATTCAGATAGAAGGCCACAAATCTGGGTGGAAAACGTGGTTGGTTTTCAGATCATAGTCCATAGAATCCTATCACAACGGTGGAGAAAAGCAGTTCCTGGAACACCCCACCCCTTAACCCCTTATCTCTGCTTCAACCAGAGCTCTTCTGTGTAACATTTCATTTAAGCAAAGGATTCGGCAAATCAAAAATTGTCAACCACGATTAATTTAGACTATCCAGCTTGGTGGATTTTCAACTGAGCACTCCTATCCACAGAATGCTGACAAATGAATCATAGCCGCCATGTGAAAAGTCTGAAGAAGTGTGTAGAAGGGCTTCATTCTTGACTCTGTCCTACTCAGAACTGTAGTTAGTGACTTGGATAAAGACATATGCGACATGCTTAGCTAAGTGACAGGTCTCAGGAAGATAGCAGGAAAACATCCTGGTTGAGAAGGCAGATCCAAGAAGTCCTGACAATCTTTAACAATTGTTTAAACCAAATGTTTAAGGTTAACAACATCAGGGACCAAAGTTTTGTTCTTATGTTTAAAAAAAATCCCAGAATAAGGGAGGTAATGGTCTTTTTTTTCTGCCTTGAATAAACAACACTTGAGAACTGTAAATAAATTCTGAGTCCGTAATCCAGGAGAAACATCTATAAAGAGGAATTTAGCCAAGGAGAGCATTGAGAATGTTGAAGAGCTTGAAAATCATAATGAGAATAATTCCTGGCCAGGCGCGGTGGCTCATGCCTGTAATCCTTGCACTTTGGGAGGCTGAGGCAGGCAGATCACTTGAGGTCAGGAGTTCAAGACCAGTCTGGGCAACATGGGGAAAACCTTGTCTCTACTAAAAATGCAAAAATTAGCTGGGTGTGGTGGCATGCGCCTATAATTCCAGCTACTCCGAAGGCTGAGACATGAGAATCGCTTGAACCAAGGAGGCAGAGATTGCAGTGAGCCGAGTTCATGCCACTGCACTCCAGCCTCGGTGACAGAGTGAGACTGTCTCAAAAAAAAAAAAGAAAGAAAGAAAGAAGTCTACATTAGAAAGAAATTCAACACATTTTCTGTGACCCAGAGGGCAGAAGAGAATCAATGAGATAAAGTTATCTAGAGACAGAAATTTTTTTCTTTTGTTTTCTTTTTTTTTTTTTTTTTTGAGACAGGGTCTCACTCTGTTGCCTAGGCTGGAGTGCAGTGGTCCAATCACAGCTCAATGGAGCCTCAAGTTCCTGGGCTCAAGCAATCCTCCCACCCAGCCTCCTGAGTTGCTGGGACTACAGGCGTGCACCACCACACCTGGCTAATTTCTGTGGTTTTTGTAGAGACAGGGTTTTGCCACGTTGCCCAGGCTGGTCTTGAACTCCTGAGCTCAAGCAATCTGCCTGCCTCGGCTTCCCAAAGCATTGGGGTTACAGGCCTGCGCCATTGCGCCTGGCGAGACAGAAATTTCTTATTAAAAAAGCTGAGCAGCAATGAAACGGGCCACACTTTTTGAGGCTGTAAGAAGTCATCTTCTGCATCTGTAAGATGGCCAGAACAATACGGAGAATACTCAAACATAGATGGAAGTTAGGCTTTCAAGACTCCTTCCAACTGTAAGTAGCAAAAACATACTCCTTTGTGTTCTATCAGTTTTTACTTTCTTCCTATCCAACTTTTTGGTTTAAAGAAATGAGATCTGGTAAGTTCCCATCTTCATCTTGGAAGGTGTGGTAGATTTTAATTCTTCCCTTTCCCGCGTCCACATCCTGGCAGTGTGATGTTTCATATCCTTCTGTTCAGAGATAGAGTCTATTTTTCCACTTCTGGAATAGCTGGCTTGCCCATGTGAATTGTTTTGTGCCATAGAAGAGGCTTGAAAAGCACTTGCACATTGGAGCTTGCTCTCTTCCTGCTCTTGGAAACCCTGTACGTGTACCATTATGTACAACAGCCCACATTGGCCTGCTGGATAATGAAAGCCTTTGAGGTGGAAAACTCAGGCACCCTAACAGACAGAGTCATGCAACTCCAGCTGACAGCCCATCAGACATAACAGTAAGGCCATCCCATAGGATCCAGCCTCCAGGTGAGCTGTCAGCTTACCACAAAGGCAGGAGCAAAACAATAAAAAAAATCCACAAAGCCAGTGTAGACGGAAGAAACTTTCCAACCAACCCACAGAATCATGAACTAAATTAGGAGGTGGTTGTTTGAAGCCACTAAATTCTGGGGTAGTATGTTATGCAGCAGAAGCTAACTGATACAGAAGTGATCACTGGGCATACCCATTCTAACTCTGCTCTAAAAGCAAAGGAAGGCTTTCCTTTGAGTTGTGACCATAACACGCTGTGGGCCCTACATTGGACCAAACGTTCATCCTGTTTGCTCAGAGATAGCCTGGTATATGCATAAACTACTCCTTTTCCAAGTTTCTGGGAATTGGGTTGAGGTTGCTGCATCTTTGGAAGTTGGTCTCCACCACTGGCAGGCTGCCTGCATCACAAGATCTCATTACTCAGGAGCTGTCCAAGTGTCTAATGTACTTAGTTAAGAAAAAGAGGCTGGGCATGGTGGCTCACGCCTGTAATCCCAGCACTTGGGGAGGCTGAGGCGGGCGGATCACAAGGTCAAGAAATCGAGACCATCCTGGCCAACATGGTGAGACCCCATCTCTACTAAAAATACAAAAATTAGCCGGGCGTGGTGGTGCATGCCCATAGTCCCAGCTACTCAGGAGGCTGAGGCAGGAGAATCGCTTGAACCCGGGAGGTGGAGGTTGCAGTGAGCCAAGACCACGCCACTGCACTCCAGCCTGGGTGAAAGAGCGAGGTTCCATCTCAAAAAAAAAAAAAAAAAAAAAAAGGAAAGAAAAAGAGCACGATACTGAAGTCACCTCAGTTGCTGGAACTCCTCCTGAAAATATGCAGTCATAAAACATCATAGCTGGAAGGGTCCTCCAAGATAAGCTAATCCAATACCTTCATTTGACAGGTCAAGAAAGCGAGCCTCAAGAAGTTAAGCATCTTGTTCAAGGCCGCATAGCCAGGGGATTAGAGCCCAGGTCTCCTGACCCCTAAACCTAGATTCTTTTTCTCTCAAACTGGCTTTTTCAGTTCTGTTTTCTACCTCTGGCCGTCGGCGTGTTTGTGGACAGAGTGCTGATAGGAATCATTCAAGGACATCTTTTGGCCTAGTGCTGTTTATGAACATCCTTAACTAAACGTTATCTGTTCTCCCCATAGCTGTCTTCATTTTGTTATTGTTGCTGTTGTTATTATTGTTTCTTCCTTACATTGTTAACTTCCCTTTTTCCAGATTTTTTTTTTTTTTTTGAGACAGAGTTTCACTCTTGTTGCCCAGGTTGGAGTGCAATGGCTTACTGCAACCTCCACCTCCCAGGTTCAAGAGATTCTCCTGCCTCAGCCTCCCAAGTAACTAGGATAATCCCAACCTGGGTATTTTTAGTGGAGATGGGGTTCACCATGTTGGCCAGGCTGTTCTCGAACTCCTGACCTCAGGTGATCCACCCAACTCGGCCTCCCAAAGTGCTGGGATGACAGGCATGAGCCACCACACCCGGCCCAGAGATGTTTTTAGTTGCCATTGATACATATTGTTTTTGTCATAGGAAAAGAATTTCCTCCCTGCGCCATTGAGGTCTATAAAATTATAGAGAAAGTTGATTACCCCCGGGATGAAAATGGAGAAATTGCTGCTATCATCCATCCTAATCTGCAGGTAACATTTGTTCTTTCTTTAAAATGTTGAAAATAATAATGCTGTACCTTTGAATAGAAGTTTATAGCTCATACAGCACTTCGCGTACATTCGCCCATTTGATGCTCTCATTAGACACTGAGTGTAGATAGGGAAGATGTTCGGACTGTCGCTCAATAAATACTTATTCAGTGTAACCTGTGCTGGCTGTGTGGACACACCAGTAAGTATGGCCTGCACGCTCAATGGAATTTATAGTGTAGGTACACAAAAGTCTAACTTTAGTCTAGAAATGAAGACAGCCAGATGAGATGACAGAATAATGAGATGGGAGAGGAGTGGTCAGACAAGGCCACTTAGAGAAAGTGAAACTCCTACCCACATTCAGCGGGTGGGAATTATGATGTCTATTTTAATATAAGGAAATACAGGGACGGAAGTTAGAACCTTCCCACAGCCATGTAGCTATCAATGACAGATCCAGAGTTAGTGCTCTTTCAAGTTGGCCGCATCACTTGCTACCTCCCTGTGACAGAATAAGTTAGAGAAAAACGACTGGAACCTCTTTCTTCTGCCACCATTCCCCAACTCTCCTCAGAACCCCCAGAATCTACTCCTTGCCTAGTTTTATCAATAATGACATAGTGAAGAAGGAAAAAAAAAAGGCTCTTGAGAGAATGTAGGAGGTTTAAATCCGGAAAAGGCAAAGGGAAAAGGAGAGAAGAACAGATTTCCAAAGCCAAAGTATCCATTCCCCAGTGCAAGTGGCCTGCACACTCCCAGACCTCAGAGATGGAAGAGAACTGGTGGATTATCTAGTCCAGGGCTTTCAACCCCGACTAACCTTTACCTAGAGAGCTTTTAAAAAACATCATAATAGCAATGGCAGGACT
Source organism: Homo sapiens (assembly GCF_000001405.40). Lineage (NCBI taxonomy): Eukaryota > Metazoa > Chordata > Mammalia > Primates > Hominidae > Homo > Homo sapiens. The sequence continues at coordinate 3,495,332 of NC_000017.11, forward strand.
CCACTCTGAGATACTCTGATCTTTTTGGCTTGGATAATCAGGATTGAAAAACACTGATTGATCCAGTTCCTATCCCTGTTTAGTGACTCTAATAGTCATCCAGACTTGCAACTGAATGAAGTGGCCTGCCCAGTAATACAGACGAGTGAAGCAAATCCTGCTTTGTGGCTTAATGGGACCCAGGTGGAAACCTGAAGAAGCAGCCTTAGGCAGTGTTTGTTTTTGTTTTTGTTTTTGTTTTTGTTTTTGTTTTTTGAGATGGAGTCTCGCTCTGTCGCCCAGGCTGGAGTGCAGTGGTGCAATCTCAGCTCACTGCAAGCTCCACCTCCCGGGTTCAAGCAATTCTCCTGCCTCAGCCTCCCGAGTAGCTGGGATTACAGGCTCACGTCACCACACCCGGCTAACTTTTGTATTTTTAGTGGAGATGGGGTTTCACCATGTTGGCCAGGATGGTCTCAATCTCCTGACATCATGATCCACCTGCCTCGGCCTCCCAAAGTGGTGGGATTACAGGCATGAGCCACCTTGCCCAGCCTTAAGCAGTGTTTTAAAGGAAAGGTAAAGACTGGGGGAGAGAAAGGAAGAAAGCACTATTGGTGACAAAAATATCAAGTACAAGAAACAGAGGCCAAGGTGATGATATCATGGCAGGCTAAAACAGGATTTTTCAGGTTTTAGGATACTCTTGAGGAGTACAAAAATAATCCCAGGCAGACGGAGAAGTGAGATGAATGAGATCAGTAGCAAACTGGGCTAGTGGTAGGTCTCGAAAGTTAGGAAGGATGGTTTTGATTTGACAGACAATAATGAATGGCTCAGTATTCTACAGGAGGGATTGATTGGTTAATTCTGCCAACAAATATTTTTGAATGACAACTAAGCTCATTCTGGGCCTTGAGATTCAAGATAGGGAAGGTTCCTCATGGAGCTTCCATCCCAATGGGTGAGGAGAACTGACCATGAATAAGTAAACAATATGTAAACCAAATCATTTCAAACTGTAATAAGTGCTGTAAAAGAAATACACAAAATAATATAGCAGAGGGTATAACAAAGGGTTCCAATTAGACGGAGTGGTCACAAAGTGCCATCTCAGAGATGGTGGCACTGAAGTTGGAACCTAGAAGATGAGAAGCCAGCCATGTGGAAGGCAAGTGAGAGGCCCTGAGGCTGGAACAAACTTGGAGCATCTGAGGAACAGCAAGAAGACCCATATCCCTGGAGAGGAGGAGTGAGCAGAGGACGGTAGAGCCTGGAGAAAACACAGTTCAGGACCCGGTTATGAGTCTAGATTTTGTCCTAAGAATGACAGTTCTTACTAAGGGATGCTAACTGGAATCACGTAGGGGACCCCCTCCCAGTGCCTAGAACCCACCACAAACTACTAAAGTAGCGCTTCTCAAACTTGAGCCACATGACAATTATGGGGAGCTTTTTAAAAATGCTGATTCCTGGCCAGGAGCGGTGGCTCACGCCTGTAATCCCAGCGCTTTGGGAGGCCGAGGCGGGCGGATCACGCGGTCAGGAGATCGAGACCATCCTGGCTAACACGGTGAAACCCCATCTCTACCAAAAATACAAAAAATTAGCCGGGCATGGTGGCAGGCGCCTGTAATCCCAGCTACTCGGGAGCCTGAGGCAGGAAAATTGCTTGAACTCGGGAGGTGAAGGTTGCAGTGAGCTGAGATTGTGCCACTGCACTCCAGCCTGGACAGAGCTGAGATTACGTCTAAAAAGAAAAAGAAAAAATGCTGATTTCTGAGTCCTCTTCCCAGGGGCTCTGATCTAATTCATCAGGGTGTAGACAGGGAATCAATTGAGTTCACCAGGTGATTTTCATGTGGCTCAGGTCTGGATAGCACTGCACAATGTCGGAATCTCCACAGGTGGGGCTAGCCAGACGTGTGTTGAAGAGGTTCCTTTAGTGATTCTGGGGCAAGTCTCTGCCTGAAAAACCACCGGTTCAGAGAAATAGTTCTCAGCCGAGCCACCCTGTAAATCATCTGGGGCCTAAATACAATAAACACAGAAAACAGTGAACTATAAATGGGTAGCATGAGGGATTCGAGGAGGTGGCTGAAAGAAGCACGTATCCTGATGGCATGGTTGCGGGTTATATGACTCCATGCTCTGCAAGTCAGAACTCATAGAACTGCACACAAAAATGAGCGAATTTCACTGTAGGTAAATTTAAAAATAAAATATAAAAATAATGATGCCTAGGCCCTCCTCTCAGATTCTGATTTGATTTATCTGAAATGGGCCAGCCCCTCTACCTGTATATATGTATTTAACATCCCAAGCGATCATAATGTGCCACCAGGATGGAGAAAACTGCGGTGATGCGGCACTTCCCAAACACTAATGTCGTGCACGTGAACGTCAAGGACCTGTTAACATGAAGATTTTGATTTGGTAGGTCTGCTGCGCATAATGAAATCCTGCTTTTCTAACAGGCTCCTGGGTGATGCGGATGCTGCTGGGAAATGTTAGACATGCAGAATCCCAGGCCCCCACCCCCAACCTATAGAATCAGAATCTTCATCTTAACAAAATCCCCAGATGATTTACAAGCACCTCAAAGTTTGAGAAGAACTGTTCTGGGGTTCCCGTGGTGTGACAGCCATGGTGCTTGAGGGCTCAAAGGTCCAAATCCCTGGTGCGGGACCCTTCAGATAACTCAGTTGTTACCCTAATGTAGGAGCACATTTGGAATACACCCACCTTGTCCCAGACTCTCCCCAGCCCAGCACCACCTTCTCTCACCAATCCCCGTCAGAATAGAATCTCCTTGTATGCAGGTACAACATGGCTCATTTTTATATTTCCCAACGGTAGAATGTCTTGCACACAGAAGACTCCTAATGGATATTTCCTAAATTTTGCTGAACAGAATTTAACTTGAGCTGGCAACAGGCAGACTATGCACTTAGGTAGACATGCATTTAGTTTTGCCTTTTAATATTATAAATCTCTTTGGCTACATTCAAGGTAAACCTGGTATTGAAGCAAACTCTTTTTTATTTTTTTTTAGAGACAGGGTTTCATTCTGTCACCCAGGCTGGAGTGCAGTGGTGTGAACATAGCTCACTGTAGCCTCAACCTCTGGGGGCTTGAGCAATCCTCCCACCTCAGCCTCCTGAGTATCTGGGACTACAGGCATGCACCACCACACCCAGCTAATTTTTCGTATTTTTTCTAGAGATAGGATCTCTGTGTTGCCCAGGCTGGTTTTGAACTCCTAGGCTCAAGCGATCCACCCACATTGGCCTCCCCAAGTGCTGGGATTACAGGCAAGGAGCCACTGCACCTGGCTGAAGCAAATGTTAATTACACGTTTCAATTATACAAATGCAAAGGGGAACTCTTAAAACTACTGCCAAAATTCACGACCCAATGTCAGCGCAGTCAGATCACTTGCCTGCATCTCAATGCCTCGCTCAAGTATCTCTTTTAAAACAACAGAATACTGTAATTTGTTAGTTGTCTAGAGTCTGACATAAATTTTTAGAGGAGAAAAACCAAATATAATATATTTATTTTGATTGTTTCCTGAGAGGATCAAGACTGGAAACCACTGCATCCTGGGGATCCCATGTTTTTAACTCTTGATGGGAAGACGATCCCACTGGGCGGAGACTGTACCGTGTACCCCGTGTTTGTGAATGAGGCCGCATATTACGAAAAGAAAGAAGCTTTTGCAAAGACAACTAAACTAACGCTCAATGCAAAAAGTATTCGCTGCTGTTTACATTAGAAATCACTTCCAGCTTACATCTTACACGGTGTCTTACAAATTCTGCTAGTCTGTAAGCTCCTTAAGAGTAGGGTTGTGCCTTATTCAACTGCATACATAGCTCCTAGCACAGTGCCTTATTCGGTAGGCATCTAAGCACATTTCTTAAATTAATTAATATATCTTTAAAGATATCATATTTTATGTATGTAGCTTATTCAAAGAAGTGTTTCCTATTTCTATATAGTTTATTATACATGATACTTGGGTAGCTCAACATTCTTAATAAACAGCCTTTGTATTCAGAATATAAAATTGAAATAGATATATATAAAGTTATTTGTTTTATTGTGCTTTGCCTTACTACACTTCACGGATACTGTACTTGTACTTTTTTTCCAAATTGAAGGTTTTTGGCAACCCTGTGTCTAGAAAGTCTAACAGTGCCATGTTTCCAACAGCATGTGCTCACTCCTTGTCTCTGTGTCACCCTTTGATAATATTTCAAGCTTTTTTATGATTTATTTATTATATCTGCTATGGTGATCTGTGATCAGTGGCCTTTGATGTTACTGTTGTTAAGTGTTTTGGGGCACCATGAATCGTGCCCATGTGAGACTGCGAACTTAGTGAATGTTGTGTGAGTTCTAACTGCTCTACTGACCGGCCATTTCCTTGTCTCTCTCCCTGTCCTCTGGCCTCCCTGTTCCTTGAGACACAATAATTAATAAGTCTACAGCAGACTCTGTGTGTTCAAGTGAAAGAAAGGGTCATACTTCTAGAAATTAAGCTTAGTAAGGAAGGCATGTCAAAAGCTGAGACAGGCTGAAAGCTAGGCCTCTTGCACTGGTTAGCCAAGTTGTGAATTCAAAGAAAAGGATCTTGAAGAAAATTAAAAATTCTACTCCAGTGCACACACACAAATGATAAGAAAGCAAAACAACCTTATTGCTGATATGGAGACAGTTTTAGTGGTCTGGATAGAAGATCAAACCAGCCACACATTAAGCCAAAGCATGACCCACAGCAAGGCCCTAACTCTCTTCAATTCTGTGAAGGCTGAGAGAGGTGAGGAAGCTGCAGGAAGCTGGGAGAGGTTGGTTCACAAGGTTTAAGGAAAGAAGACAGCTCTAAAACCTACAAGTGGAAAGCGAACCAGCAAGTTGCTGATGTGGAAGCTGTAGCAAGTTATCCAGAAGATGTAGCTAAAATCATTGACAAAGATGGCTACACTAAACAACGGATCTTCAGTGTAGTTGAAACAGCCTTCTATTGGAAGAAGATGCTATCTAGGACTTTCCTAGCTAGAGGGGAGAAATGAATGCCTAGCTTCAAAGCTTCAAAGGACAGCCTGACTCTCTTAAGAGCTAACACAGCTGGTGACTTTGGGTTAAAGCCAAAGCTCATTAACTGTTTCAAAAATCCTAAAACTCTTGTTTTTTGTTTTTTTTTTGAGACGGAGTCTTGCTCTGTCGTCCAGGCTGGAGTGCAGTGGCGCAATCTCGGCTCACTGCAAGCTCCGCCTCCCAGGTTCATGCCATTCTCCTGCCTCAGCCTCCCCAGTAGCTGAGATTACAGGTGCCTGCCACCACGCCCGGCTAATTTTTTGCATTTTTTTAGTAGAGATGGGGTTTCACTCTGCTAGCCAGGATGGTCTCGATCTCCTGACCTCATGATCCGCCTGCCTCGGCCTCCCAAAGTGCTGGGATTACAGGCATGAGCCACCACGCCCGGCCCAAAAATCGTAGGACTCTGAAGACTGATGCTAAACCTGCTGTGTCTGAGCTCTATAAATGGAACAACAAAGCCTCGCTGGCAGCACATCTGTTTGCGGCATGGTTTACTGTATATTTTAAGCCCACTGTTGAGACCTACTGCTTGGGAAAAAAAAAAATTCCTTTCAAAATACTACTGCTGATTGACAATACACCATGTTACCCAAGAGCTCTGCTGGAGATGTGCGAAGAGATTAGCATTGTTTTCGCGCCTGCTACCACGACATCCAGCCGAAGCCCATGGATCAAGGCGTCATTGTGACTTTCAAATCTAACTATTTAAGAAATACATTTCAGGCTGGGGGAGGGGAGAAAAAAGAAAAAAAAGAAAGGAAGAAAAAAATCATTTCATAAGGCTATAGCTGCCATAGATAGTGATTCCTCTGATGGAGCTGGGCAAAGTAAACAGAAAACCTCTGGAAAGGATTCAGCATTCCAGATGCCATTAAGAACATTCAGGATCCGTGGGAGGAGATCAAAATATCAACATTAACAGGAGTTTGGAAAAAGTGAATTCCAACCCTCTTGGATGACTCTGAGGAATTCGAGACTTGAGTAAAGGAAGTCATGCAGATGTACAGCAAGAGAATGAGAAGTGGAGCCTGAAGATGTAACTGAACTGCTGCAATCTCATGATCACACTTGAATGGATGAGGAGTCGCTTCTTATAAATGAGCAAAAAAGTGGTTTCTTGGCTGCAATCAACTCTTGTTGCAGATGCTGTGAACACTGTTGAAATGACAAAGGATTTAGAATATTACGTAAACATAGTTGATAAAGCAGCAGCAGGGTTTAAGAGGATTGACTCCTATTTTGAAATGAGTTCGGCTGGGAGAAGTGGCTCATGCCTGTCGTCCTAGCACTTTGGGAGGCCAAGGCAGACAGAGCACCTGAGGTAAGGAGTTCGAGACCAGCCTGGCCAACATGGTGAAACCCCCTCTCTACTAAAAATACCAACATATTAGCCAGGCGTGGTGGCACGTGCCTGTAGTCCCAGCTACTTGGGAGGCTGAGGCAGAAGGATCACTTGAACCCAGGAGGCAGAGGTTGCAGTAAGCCAAGACTGCGCCACTGCACTCCAGCCTGGTGGACACAGCAAGCCTCCATCTCAAAAAAAAAAAAAAAAAAAAAATGAGTTCTACTGTGAATAAAATGTTATTAAACAGCATTTCATGCTACAGAGAAATCTTTCACGAAAGGAAGAGTCAATCAATGCAGCGAACTTGTTGTTTTATTTTAAGAAATTGTCACGGCCATCCCAACCCTCAGTGCCCAACCACCCTGATCAGGCAGCCATCATCAAGGCAAGGCCCTCCACCAGCAAAAAGATCATGAATTGCTGAAAGCTCAAATGATGGTTAGCTTTTTTAGCAATAAAGCATTTTTAATGAAGGAATGTACATGTTTTAGATATAATGCTATTACACATTTAACATACTACATATAGTGTGAGCATAACTTTTACACGTACTGGAAAATCAAAAAATATGTGTGGCTCATCTGTTATAATGTTTGTTTTATTGTGGTGATCTGGAGCCAAGGCTGAAATATCTCTGAGGTATGCCTGTAATGTATAAGTGCTAGTAGAAATGAGTTGTGCAGAATTGCTATTTTTTTCAATTTTTATATTTGGGTTAATGGTAATATACTAAGCGTCCAGTCTATAAACTTCAGCATTCGTTGCGAAATCCAGAGGAGACTTTTAAGTGCTGTTTTGTAGATGAAATATGAAAGAGAAACAAGGGCTTAATGGTAAAGATGACATATGACTATATTAAGAAACTGAATGGCCCTTTGTCCACAAACAGTAACCCACACAGCATTGCTACTGTGGCATGCCCACTGCTCTGCACTGACCTCATGGAGCAGAGAACCTCCTTCAGACACCTCACGCACCCCCTGAGGAGCTAATGTTTCTTCCCAACATGGAAAATTTGGAAGAGGCCTATTCTTCACAGCTGTCACTTCTCATTTTGAAAGAATATGCCCACCCTTATTCGCAGGCAAGGTGTGAGGAGGTCTTTGGGCTCCAGCTGTTGCCAGCAGAGGTGGTGAAAGTCAACAACAGGGCACTGGACACACATAGAAATGTGACCCACAGCTATGGTTTGCAAATACAGTCTTTCAAGAAGTCCTGCCATGTCCTAAATGCCCAAACCCCTTGCCTCCCATGATTCTTCTCCTCAAAGGACCTTCTGCTGGACGCCGCCCCCTCCCTCTCCAGCCCCACCAGGGCCCTCCCCGCCATCCTCTTAGGCCACAGCAGCCAATAAAGAGTGTTTTTATTCCATGATCTGTACCCCCAATGAATCCATAATCATAGTTTCAAATGTATTTACCAAAAATACTAACATTATCTGGAATGAATGAATGAATGAATGAATGAATAAATATTATATATTTATACATTTTCATTCTTCCAAAGTGAACCCCACTATGCCAGTTTTACTCCATACTCAGTGTTCTGGAAAGCCCATATTCTTTCTAAATTTTTCAGCATTTTTTTCTATTTTTGTACTTTACCAAAATTATTTACATTGGAATAAACTCTCTTCCTTCTGAATTCTGTAGTAAAAATGTGATTTATCAGCTTTTGTACATAAGATTTACCAAGCTTCCTTCTCCTGCTGTGAATGTTCCGTTGTGTCCTATTTCTGAGTCCAATTTTTCTAGGTCAGCTTTTTCCAGATGAAAATTTTGGCAAGAATATTCTTCCCTCAAATTTTAGTTATTTGTAAAATTTACAGTGTACAATTTATATCACTGTGGTTTCAGTGGGTTTCAGGGTTGATTATTCCTATCAAGTCTAATCTTCCCTTTTACAGTCTTTAAAGTTTCTAATTAGATGTGTGGTTGGTTTGTTTGTTTTTAATCTATAACATATTGCTGTGTGGTTTTAGCCACTTTGAGTTTTATTTTACTTTGATTATTTCTAACAATCTACATTTGCATTTTTCTCATTTATAAAATGGGAATGATAATAATAATAGTGCCCCTTTCATGGGGTTACTGTGAGGATTAAGTGGGCTAAGACATATAAGCACTTAGCTCAGTGCTTAGCACAGAATACATACTTAACAAATCACTGAAGTTCAAATTCCTAGCACAAAAGGCCCTTCCTGATCTGCCCTCCCTCCCCGACGCCTCCCTACACTCATCTCCCTTTGGGCCATCTCCACTCCAGTGTCCTTCCCACTGTTTATTCCTCTAGGCCTTTACATAGACTGACTCCCCTACCCAGAACTCTCCCCCACTGTCCTCCACCTCCCACCCCACCTCAGACTGCGCTCTAGCCAATAATGCCTTTTTCTCCTTCAAAATGCAACCCAACTTTCATTTCATAGCCAACATGGTCTTCGTCGACCTGACTTTGTTGCCACTTTGCCCCTCCTTCTATCCCATCTTGAGGGCATCAGCAGTGTCTTTTTCGATGTCTACAATCTAGAAAGTGACCAATAGAGGTGAGTTGAATAAATGAGCATGCTCAAACATCCCTTCTCTACTGGAACATCTTCATCTTCCACCAATGGCCCTGCCTTTCTTTTTATCTTCCTTCCCAGTCACCTCCTGAGAACTGTCCCCATCACTCCCAAGTGAAACACTTCGTTTTACACCCTCCAGACTGTTACTATGTCCCAAAGGACAGTGGAAGGAAAAAACAACCATTTAAGTCTGCAAATCCATGGGAAAAAAAAAAGGAAATTTTCTTTTCTTTTTTTTTTTTTTTTTTTTGAGATGGAGTTTCACTCTTGCTGCCCAAGCTGGAGAGCAATGGCATGATCTCGGCTCACCGCAACCTCTGCCTCCTGGGTTCAAGCGATTCTGCCGCCTCAGCCTGTTGAGTAGCTGGGATTATAGGCATGCGCCACCACGCCTGGCTAATTTTGTATTTTTTTAGTAGAGACGGGGTTTCTCCATGTTGGTCAGGCTGGTCTCGAACCCCCGAACTCAGATGATCCACCCACCTCGGCCTCCAAGAGTGCTGGGATTACAGGCAGGAGCCGCCGCACCAGGCTAAAACAAGGAAATGTTCACACTCAACAATTCCCCTGTTTACAATCCTTTGGTGGCTTCTTACCCTTGTTATGAGATCTCAAAGCCTCACCACGGCTGTCCAAGTCCTACATGCACTGGCCTCTGCCCACCCCTCTAGCCTTATTTCATGTCACTTGGCCCCTTGCTCCCAGCAATTTGGCCACATAAGACTTCTCCAGTCCTCAGATGCACAAAGTTCCCTACCACCTTTGCCCACATTTTCCCACTTACTGAAACGCTTCCCCATCTCCACACTTCCATTAGCTAAATGACGCTACTCTTAAACATGACTCAGGCTAGGTTAGGCCACTCTGTTATACAAGCTCATTGCCAGTACTAGACTGGCACTTACCCAAATTGCAACCGTAATGCTTTATGACACCGGGGCAGGTGAAGTTATTGTCTGTCTCTGATTAAACTGCAAAAGCTCCAAGAAAGCAGGGATAGCATTTGTCTTATTCTTTGTCGTACACACAGCACTTCACGCATAGAAGGAGCTCAGTGCGTTTTGCTGGATAAATGAGAGTTGCTCTGCTGAGTGTGAAGCTATCTGGAAGGGCTTCTTTGGAAGAGCGGGTTGTCACTTCCCTCACAAGGGTGACCCCAAGATAGCCACTGGAGACCACAGAGAGTGGGAATGGTGAACCACATACAGGCAGTGCTCCAATAGGAGGAGCAAATGAAAAGTGGCAGCTGGGGAAACCCTGAAGCCTGAGAGTCCCATGGGGGTGACCAGGGAGAGAGGCCTATACGGGTCATGGATGTTCCAGGGCAGCAGGACCAGGGAGCGTCTGAAGGCCCATATTTGCATATCCGACAAAAACAGAGTCTGGAGGGAAATAGCTGCTTAGGGGTTTTTTGTTTGTTTGTTGTTTTTTGTTTTTTTTTTTTTGTTTTTGAGACGGAGTCTCACTCTGTCACCCAGGCTGCAGTACAGTGGCATGATCTCCGCTCACTGTAGCCTCTGCCTCCCGGGTTCCAGCGATTCTCGTGCCTCAGCCTCCTGGGTAGTTGAGATTACAGGCATGCGCCAGCAAGCCTGGCTAATTTTTATATTTTTAGTAGAGATGGGGTTTCATCATATTGGTCAGGCTGGTCTCGAACTCCTGACCTCAGGTGATCCGCCCACCTTGGCCTCCCAAAGTGCTGGGATTACAGGCGTGAGCCACCATGCCCGGCTGCTTTTCTAATATCTCTATACTTCCCACACATACTGCCTTCAAGAGGCTTGTGATCTACCTGTAGAGACCTTTGTATGCCTGTTCCCAAAGCAGACACACCAAAAACCCTAGTCTAGTACTTGGCAGACAGTAGTTCCTGAACACCTACCAAGCCGATGACTGAGAGGGTCACTCAGAGAGGACTTCGCCCAGGGCTGCCCCATCAGGCTTGGTGGGTTGCACAATATGAAACTCCAGGGAGGTACCTGCACACACCACAAAGTCAATGGCACAGCCCAGAAGCTTACATCCCATCAAAGCAAAAACAGCACTAAAGTTTCCCCCATTCTGCCAAGAAAAGAACAGGAACTTGACTAGCAAACAAAGTCAACCAAAAAACTGAGGTCTATAGGGGATTAATGTAGTATAATTAAGGGGAAAAAAATACTAAAGCCCCATTAGCTACAGATAGACTAAATGTTTAACAGAAAAACGTCATTTTTAGAAACTACATATTAAGGGAAAGAATAACTTTCACAGTCTTGAAACATAAGAAAGCTCAAGAGCATAGAGAGCATAGAGAGAGGTCCCTAGACAGGAGTTTTCTTGCTCTAAGTGAAAGGCAGGGCCACGCACAGGGACCTGTAATCCCAGCACGTCGGGAGGCCGAGGCAGGTGGATCACCTGAGGTCAGGAGTTTGAGACCAGCCTGGCCAACATGGTGAAACCCCGTCTCTACTAAAAATACAAAAAATTACCTGGGCTTGGTGGCGGGTGCCTGTAGTCCCAGCTACTTGTGAGGCTGAGGCAGGAGAATTGCTTGAAGCCGGGAGGTGGAGGTTGCAGTGAGCCGAGATCATGCCATTGCACTTCAGCCTGGGTGACAAGGCAAGACTCTGTCGGAAAGACAGAAAAAGAGAGAGAGAGAAAGAGAGAGAGAAGGAAAAGAGAAGGAAGGGAGGGAGGAAGGGAGGGAGGGGAGGAGGGAGTGGGGAGGCGAAGGCAACCAAAGCTTAGGAATGTGGGTGCAAATAAATTCACAGGTTTGGTGGTCACAAGTTGAAGGTGTTTCCAACTTATGGCTTCCATTTTCACTGTAAAATAAGGGATAAAACCTACTACAGCTATTGATATGGAAATGGTGGGGTCACAGGTTTAAGAAGTATGATGGTTTTGAAATAACAAAATATGATGGTTTTAAAAAATAAAACAGAAAACCGATGAAAGAAATAGAACAGCTGGACAGTAACAAGGGTTGCTATAAACATTAAATGAGACATGTATGTAAAGTGCATGGCACTTTATAAATATTCATGTCCTTCTCCCCTCCTACCACCATCTTAAATGGAAGAAACTGTCTTACTTATATTTGTATCATCTATCATTGCCCATACTTCATGTTCAATTTTTGTTGAATTGGTTCTAAATCTTCACACATAGTAAGTGAGATACATTTTTTGAGTTGGACTGAATCCTTTCTGCAGAACTTTGCTGTTACTGTCAGAGGGGTTGCTGGTGCAGTGAGAAAAATGGTAGTTCTTGATACTAGACTAACTAAACTTCAGAGAACCTGGATCCTCCAGCCAGGAGAAAGGATTGTGAACTTCGCATGTCATTCCGTCTGTCTCCAAGTCTCGATTTCCCTACCTATTAAACTGGGATACGACACTCACCAAACCTACAAAACAATAACCAACATGACCGGAAGAGCTTTGTAAACAGTGTAGCATACAATCTCAAAGGCTGAACGCATTGAAGGAATCCTTTGGGGAGGTAATTTCTCAGAGTATCAAGAACCATAAAAATGTTGAAACCAATTGACCTAGGCATCTCCTTCCCAGAAATATATCCTATGACAAGGGTTTCCACCCTTTTTCTACCCGTCCACCCAAAACATCCCCATGGATGGCACATTCCTAGGTTTTGGACTAACGCCTATTAAGCTAGGATGTGAATCACGTACAATCCCTGTCTTGCTGCCACTCAACAAGATACATCCCAGTGAAGGAAGTTATTCTGGGAATCATCTGAATTAAGTAAATAATTCACCAAATGCAGTATTTCACTTATTAACAAATTGGTTGCAAGTTCCACAACCCATCAAGACAAGCAGTCAAGACTTGGCATTCCATCAGAGAAATGCAAATCAAAACCACAATGAGATACCATCTCACACCAGTTAGAATGGCAATCATTAAAAAGTCAGGAAACAACAGGTGCTGGAGAGGATGTGGAGAAATAGGAACACTTTTACACTGTTGGTGGGACTGTAAACTAGTTCAACCATTGTGGAAGTCAGTGTGGCGATTCCTCAGGGATCTAGAACTAGAAATACCATTTGACCCAGCCATCCCATGACTGGGTATATACCCAACGGACTATAAATCATGCTGCTATAAAGACACATGCACACGTATGTTTATTGCGGCACTATTCACAACAGCAAAGACTTGGAACCAACCCAGATGTCCAACAATGATAGACTGGATAAAGAAAATGTGGCACATATACACCATGGAATACTATGCAGCCATAAAAAATGATGAGTTCATGTCCTTTGTAGGGACATGGATGAAATTGGAAATCATCATTCTCAGTAAACTATCGCAAGGACAAAAAACCAAACACCGCATGTTCTCACTCATAGATGGGAATTGAACAATGAGAACACATGGACACAGGAAGGGGAACATCACACTCTGGGGACTGTTGTGGGGTGGGGGGAGGGGGGAGGGATAGCATTAGGAGAAATACCTAATGCTAAATGACGAGTTAATGGGTGCAGCGCACCAGCATGGCACATGTATACATATGTAACTAACCTGCACATCGTACACATGTACCCTAAAGCTTAAAGTATAAAAAAAAAAAAAAAAAAAAAAAAGACTTGGCATTCAAGTTAAGAACTGCCATCCTTATGAAATCACTCAAAGGAATGAAGAACTGAATATACCTATGAATTAGGCTGATCGGCAATAATGATAGTAAGAACATCAGCTCTTTCCTATCTATTCTCTCATTGCCTCCTTGTGAAAAGCCTGCGTGGTGGACAGGAGGGATTTATACCTTCTGTTCTCCAGGTGGAACCATGGGTTTCTATTCACTCAAAATAATTTGACAGCCAACAGCCATGATGGATAGAGCCCTCATTTTTTTTATTTCTTCCAAAAAAAAAAGGGGGGGATACAGGTGCAGAACATGCAGGTTTGTTACATAGGTATACGTGTGCCATGGTGCTTTGCTGCACCTATTGATCCATCCTCTAAGTTCCCTCCCCTCACCCCCTACCCCCCAACAGGCCCTGGTGTGTGTTGTTCCCGTCTCTGTGTCCATATGTTCTCAATGTTCAATTCCACTTATGAGTGAGAACATGTGGTGTTTGGTTTTCTGTTCCTGTGTTAGTTTGCTGAGGATGATGGCTTCCAGCTTCATCCATGTTCCTACAAAAGACATGATCTCATTCCTTTTTATGGCTGTATAGTATTCCGTGGTGTAGATATAACACATTTTCTTTATCCAGTCTATCATTGATGGGCATTTGGGTTGGTTCCATGTCTTTGCTATTGTAAATAGTGCTGCAATAAACATATATGTGCATGTGTCTTTATAGTAGAATGATTTACATTCCTTTGGGTGTATACTCAGTAATGGGATTGCTGGGTCAAATGGTATTTCTGGTTGTGGATCTTTGAGGAATCGCCATACTGTCTTCCTCAATTGTTGAACTAATTTGCATTCCCACCAACAGTGTAAAAGTGTTCCTATTTCTCCACAGCCTCTCCAGCATCTATTGTTTCCTGACTTTTTAATAATCGCCATTCTGACTGGCGTGAGATGGTATCTCACTGTGGTTTTGATTTGCATTTCTCTAATGACCAGTGATGATGAGCTTTTTTTCATATGTTTGTTGGCCACGTAAATGTCTTCTTTTGAGAAGTGTCTGTTCATATCCTTTGCCCACTTTTTGATGGGGTTGTTTTTTTCTTGTAAATATGTTTAAGTTACTTGTAAATTCTGGATATTAGACCTTTGTCAGATGGGTAGATGGCAAAAATTTTTTCCTATTCTGTAGGTTGCCTGTTCACTCTGATGGTAGTTTGTTTTGCTGTGCAGAAGTGGATAGAGCACTCTTTGAGGGCTTTCATGGCCTGAACCACTGACATTATGTGGCTGTGAATCCCTGGGCACATCACTTCAAGCCCGTGAGTCTCCTTTTATTGAAACTGCTTCCAAAGCTGCTGAGTGGTTCGAATTGACTACCTGATGTGAATGCGCTTTGAGATGCAAATACGTACAAAGGTGACATGCCTTATGGCTTGCTGGCTCTGTTCCTAAGCCGGAACCAATGATAATGCTTCAGGTCCAAAAACGGGCCTTCCCTTTACCCACTCCTGTTAACAACACTCTAGGGTTTCTAGTCAATCTGCACATTGGCACACCTAACGCAAGGATAAAACGTGGCCATAACGAGGCAAAACAAATATTTATTAGAAATCAAAAAACCATTTCTTCAATGGCACAAACATGTTCTTACTCTTTGTATGATTTCTTTCTTGAACATAGAGTTTCGCACACACATACACACTAAGAACAAGTAGGTAAATGAGAATTTACAAGGATCCGGCACATTCAAGGGAGAATGGGGTGACGATTCTGTGTTTGGAACCAAGATCACAGTAAAAAATATGTAAATCAATGCAGAAATCAAGTACGGCTTACAGGCCCGGATGACGGCCCATCTACCTGGGCCCTGCCCAGAGCGAAAGGTCACAGGTCACCAGGCCTTGAGGAAGGACAGGAATGTCAATAATAAAGGGCTCTCTCAGGCTGGAGCCTTCTAAGAGCCTGAAGACTTCACAGTACAACCTCCAGCACCTTCTCCCACATCCCAGGGAGGAAGGTTAAGCACCTTTTATTCCTAACAGATATATCACATAATGTCTAGAATAATGAATTCTTCCTGAGGAAAAGTTTAGCTAAAGGAGCATTTGCAGCCAAAGGCACTATCTGAACCTGGGAGACCCCATCCCTGGAAAACACCTTCCCCTGAAATTACTGAAATGTCAATCACGGAGTTTTAGGATGTCCTGATAGACCCACGGGTTCAACGGGGTGTGTGTGGGGGCTGAGGGTGTGTGTGTGCATGGGTGTGGTTTTGTGCACCCCTGTGGGCACACTTGAATTTTCAACTAGTCATAGGGAACATAGGGGACAATGTTGACTGCCAAATGAGACACCTGAGAAAATAGTCCTGCCCCCCAATATAAGCGAAATACAAAGACTCAAAATGATGGAATAACTGTGCTTTTTAAAAATAAATAAATAATGGCTCAGGGAGACATCTGTGGTCCAAGAATCAGGACACTCCAGCCTCCACAGCTCTGATATGACCTTCCTGCATGACTTTGCCCAAGTACACATTCCTCTCGGAGCATTAGCCTCTGGGCGTAAAATGAAGGAAGTGCTCCTTTTCACTCTGATGCTTCTTGACTTATGGCTTCCCTTGGTAAACCTACCTAGGCTCAGACGTTTTGGCTGAAAGCCTTTTGGGGTGGACACTGTTGGGAAGAATATCCAATACAGAAAATGGTCTTGCCAACAAATTCCATCCAGACCCACAGACAGCAGATCACCAAAACATGTGAGATGACAAACATCCCTATGGCTCTCCATTCCCCACTTGGACAAAAGCTGGCAGGTTAGGCAAATAGAAATCAATAATTGGCTTTATCCATTAACATCCGAGTCAAAGCAACTCTGGATACGGCTTTATCCATAACAGATACGGCTTTATCCATTAATGGATATGACTTTCTCCATTAATATCTGAGTCAAAGCAATTCTGGAATTCCCAGCTCCATAGTGTGGAGCTTGGCATCATGAATCCAAACCACTTCCTTTCAGACCAAGATGTCTGTTCAGGCTTAATGCGGGTAGCTAACTCCAGATGTGGAATGCTGATTTGTACAATCTCCAGGCTAAAAGGGACCTTAAACTTCTTCCAATGACCATTTTCAACAACATTCCTCATTAAGTGCGCAACCAGCTTCTGCTTAAACATCTCCAACATCTGGAGCAGTTGCTGGATTCTGTTGAGCCAAAATCTTTCTCAATTTCCTAATTCTGCCCATTCTGAAACACATCTGCTCCTCCTGCCTCTAGGACAGTTCTCCTCAAATCTTCTCTTCTCCAGAGGCCCATGCCCAGCCCCGACCACTGTGGCTTAGAGCACGCGATTACTCCCTGGGTCAGCTGGGAGGGCAGGGGCTGCTGTGGATTGTGAAGCCTCACACACCCCAGCCCACCTCTCCCCAATCGGCCCCATCAGGGGCACAAAGTCTCTATCTGTCCAGCTAGTCTGGCACACAGAGTGGCCCAGGGCAGAGAAACTGGCCCAGAGTGCACTGCTAGGCCCCGACTCTTCAGTTTGCCTCAAGCCAGATGAACTTATCTATCGCCATGTTATCTGAAGGCCAAATTTCTATTTCTGCCATTTAAGATTAACATTTATGGTTACTATTTTTATAATTCCACCTCGAACATTTTTACATGAATCCTTTCACCAGATAACGGCGGCAGAGTGGATTTTCTGGTGGTTTCGGCCCCAGTCACCTGGAAAATCCTTCCGTCTCCACTTCACCTCTGCCCCCCAGACTGACTCCGTGTCATTTCAGAAAGAGAACATCAGAGGACGAGGACCTAAAAATAAGCTCAAAGTCTTGGCAAATGCTTTTCTCTCACAAGCTTCCCCTTCAGCTTCAAAATTCACAGTTAAAATTAAAAAAAAAATACTTCGTACCAAAGCAGTTGAGGCATTTTGTTAAATTCCCCCACTGAGACATACTGAGGTATGCGACTAACTGCTGAGTTCCAAGATGATATCGATCGAGCAGCTGCTATTTCTGCTTCAGCGAAAGCCACGATCCCAGCACACAGGCACGCGCTACTGTGAGGTCAGGACGAGGAAAAGAGCCAGGACCTTTCACCCAGATCGCGGCGGCCCAGCAGGACTTGCCCGGAGTGTCTCATGCAGACTTTTGTGTGTGTGAAGAAAAGCTTTTTGTCTTGCTCTGGGCACCCTGAGGCCAAATATATAATACTTACATCCAGCCCCAAAGCCCCCAGTCTGTCTCCACTTTTAAAATCACAAACTTCATTGTAGTAATTTTCATTCTCAACTGAAATGTCTTTTCCGTATTGCAAGTTAAAACCCTGTGTTAATTCTGCTACTAAAAACATCTCTCAGCTTGAGACAGTTTGAACCTTGGGGTGTCAGGGGACGTTCACTCCAAGGATGGTCTCCTTTTCCCCGAAGGGTTCCGGAAGGGTGTTTCCAGAGCGCATTCCCCTCCTCCCCCAGGATATCCAGCTTACCTCCGTCCCCCGCACACTCTGGGATGGGATCACGGGTCTCCCACAAATTCAGGCAACCCAGTCACAGCAGAAGAGATGGTACAATGTGTGGGCTGGGGTTGGGGCTGACGGGGGAAGCTGGCAGGAGGAAAGACTCCTCTCCCTGCTCCTCAAGACTGCTGCCCCTTTCCCGCCATCCATCTCTCCCAGCCAAGCCGACCTGCAATTGGTAAAACCAGAGGCTTCACCCGGGACTTCAGGAGGCTCCCAGGCTCCAGACTGCTGCTGGCTGTAGGTTTACACCAGCTGTTTGCCAAGTAACAAAATCCAGGATGTTTCCCACTCAGACAAATTGACAACTGCCCCTCAGTTCAGACACCCACTGAGCACTGAGCACGAGGGTGCACTCTGCTTCTAGGCCAGCAGAGCCGGACTCCACCATCCCTCAAAGCCTCTCTGCACAGAGTCGGTGACTCCGCCTGCAGCGCCAGACAGCGCACGCGCACACCAGCTCTGGGTTCCGCTTCTACACCGAGGTTTCCGGGAATTCCTCGACTTCTTCAAATGCATTGAGAGTGGTTTTGCTGTTGTTCCTGGAAGAATCTTGGATTTTGTTGAAATCTGCTTTTTAAAAAAATATATATTTTAGAAATATATCACTCTGCATAGTGTGTTTCTTTTTTCTTTTTCTTTTTTTTCTTTTTTGAGATGGAGTTTCCCTCTTGTCACCCAGGCTGCAGTGCAGTGGTGTGATCTCAGCTCACTGCAACCTCCACCTCCCAGGTTCAAGCAATTCTCCTGACTCAGCCTCTCGAGTAGCTGGGATTATAGGCACCTGCCACCACGTTCGGCTAATTTTTGTATCTTTAGTAGAGACAAGGTGTCACCATGTTGGCCAGGCTGGTCTCAAACTCCTGACCTCAGGTGATTCACCCGACTCGTCCTCCCAAAGTGCTGGGATTACAGGCACGAGCCACCGCGCCCGGCCTGCATGATGTGTTTCTATGGCTTAGGGCTACGCCATTTTAAAAGTTGTGCCAACTAGGGTTCTAAAAGTCAGAGCTGGAAGAGACCTAAGAAGCATTTCCATTCAACCCTCCCATTTGACAGATGGGGAAAGTCAGGACCCTTAGACTTGATCTGCCCAAGGTTACATGGTCTGAGACAGGAGCGGACACCATGTCACCTCACAGCGACAGTACCTGTTCGTCTTACAGGCCCCGGGTCTTCGTTAAGGAAGGAGACGTGCGTCTTCCATTCAGTCCACTTCACCTCATTGATCCTGCAAATGTGATAATCATTCTTACTATTTCACCAGTGCCTCACTGAGTACTAACAAATAGCCCTGCGTTTGGGACGTCCTGGTGTCTACACAGCTCCCCTTCTGTCTGTCCTAGAGATCAGGAGCACCCCTGACCCGAGGGGTCACACCAAAGTTGTTGGAGTTTGAACTCTATCCCCATCTCCACGTCCCCAGGCCTCAGAGAATCAGTTCTCCTTCCATTGTAGGGAACTCGGAAATCCTGCAAGTTGCCCAGACAGGTGTAAAGGGTCCAACTTCAGACAACAGCTGCTGTGCCTGACTGGTGACAGCCCAAGGGGAAGCGGGGACAGACAGAGGGAGGGCCCGGGCCACGAGGGTGTGAAGATTAAACTCCAAGTGTAGCAGGGGTTGAGGAAGCACGAAGAGCCTGTGGTTAGGGTCAGTGCCCCAACAAGAGTGGGTGGCGTCTGAGGTGTTAGAATACAACCATAGGCATTGATGTGACTTCAATTCACACCCAGAGAACATCTCTAGAGTGAGGGTGGCAACATCACAACTGTTTGTTAGGGTAATGATTGCAGTCAGAAATGATGCTTTCCACGGGGCGCGGTTTCAGTCAGAGAAGTGGGTTAAGGTATGGTCATACTCCGAGAAGGTGGTCTGTAGGCTCAGGCAGTTGGGTCAGGGTAGGAGGAGGTGGGCTTATCAGAAAAGGTGTTCATGGGGCCGGGCACCGTGGCTCACGCCTGTAATCCCAGCACTTTGGGAGGCCGAGGGGGGTGGATCACTTGAGGCCAGGAATTCAAGACCAGCCTGGCCAACGTGATGAAACCTCGTCTCTAATAAAAATACAAAAATTATCCAGGCGTGGTGGCATATGCCTGCAGTCCCAGCTACCGGGGAGGCTGAGGCAGGAGAATCGCTTCAACCAGGGAGGCGGAGGTTGCAGTGAGCAGAGATCGCATCACTGCACTCCAGCCTGGAACTCCTTTTAAAAAAACAGAAAAGAAAAGGTGGTCATAGGATATGTAAGGACTTTAAAAAAAAAATGCAAAAAGCCAGAGATCTGTCAAAGTAGCCACGTCACTTTCCATCTGCCAGGGGCAAAAGGGGCCTCAAGTCACCCGGGGTCACAGGAACTCACACAGGGTAAACAGCAGGAAAAGGAGTACCCAGCAGGCAGATCTTCCCTAAACCAGATAGCGAACACAGAGAGACCATGGAGGCACCTCCAAAAAAGCAGAGAGAGGGGCTGGGTGCGGTGGCTCATGCCTGTAATCCCAGCACTTTGGGAGGCCAAGGTGGGTGGATCACCTGAGGTCAGGAGTTTGAGACCAGCTTGACCAACATGGTGAAACTCTGCCTCTACTAAAAATACAAAATTAGCCAGGGGTGGTGGCGCATGCCTGTAGTCCCAGCTACTCGGGAGGCTGAGGCAGGAGAATCACTTGAACCCGGGAGGCGGAGGTTGCAATGAGCCAAGATTGCGCCATTGCACTCCAGCCCGGGCAACAAGAGCAAAATTCCGTCTCAAAAAAAAATAAAAGAAGAAAGAAAAATGCAGAGAGGGGAGCCGCTGTTGGCAGTCTCCTTCTCTTTCTCTTCTGAAGCTCAGGAACCCCCATCTCAGGGCCTGCAACCCCATAAGCAAATTCCTTCTTCCAAGGAGGCCACTGGAAGAGACAGTAGCTGTGGTTATGGTTAGCAAGTGGCGGCACTGTTTCTCTAACATCCTGTCACCATCCTGCCCCTCTCTACCCACCCCAAAGACCACCACCCCAGGGCCCTTCTCCCTTTGTTACCGCAAACACAGTCGGAAATCATCCTCGGCCACTTTGCACAGCTCTCCCATCCGGAATCTGCTCCTCAGCCATTCTGGTAACATTTTCTCAAACTCCAAGATGGTCCTGGCTCTCTGGGGACATAAGCAAGTCTAAGGAGTAGGCATCCACACTCACAAGCACACACAAGGGCACACACACTGTCGGGGAGCCCACTCCACCCTCACCTCATGCTTAATGCATAGATCGCAAGGGTTTGGCTAATCTACAGAATTCAAAGACAAAAAAGCAGGCCGGGCACGGTGGCTCACACCTATAATCCCAGCACTTTGGGAGGCCAAGGTGCGTGGATCACCTGAGGTCAGGAGTTTGAGACCAGCCTGGCCAACATGGCGAAACCCTGTTTCTACTAAAAACACAAAAATTAGGGCTGAGCGCACTGGCTCTTGCCTGTAATCCCAGCACTTTGGGAGGCCAAGGCGGGTGGATCACCTGAGATCAGGAGTTCGAGAGCAGCCTGGCCAACATGGCAAAAGCCGGTCTCTACTAAAAACACAAAAATTAGCTAGGCGTATGTCAGGCGCCTATAATCCCAGCTACTCGGGAGGCTGAGGCAGGAGAATCACTTGAACCTGGAGGTTGGAGTTTGCAGTGAGCCGAGATCCCACCATTGCACTCCAGCCTGGGTGACAGAGCGAAACTCCATGATATAAATAATATTTCTGAAAGCCCAGGAGCTTCCTATCTGAAAGTGCTGGGGTCCTGGAATCCCATAGCAGAGGACCGTTCAAACATCATTTGTCCCACCCCCTCCCAGGCTTGGAATCTCTCTGCAGTTTCCTGGCCATAATTTTTCCAGTCTCTCTTGAATAGCATCAACAAACCAATTAAGAGGGCCTTGGACAGGCGCAGTGGCTCACACCTGTAATCCCAGCACTTTGGGAGGCTGAGGCGGGCGAATCGCTTTGAGCTCAGGAGTAAGCGGCCAGCCTAGGCAACATGGTGAAACCCCATCTCTACAAAAAATACAAAAATGACCCAGGTGTGGTGGCGCGTGCCTGTAATCCCAGCTACTTGGGAGGCTGAGGTGGGAGAATCACTTGAGCCCGGGAGGCAGAGTTTGCAGTGAGCTGATAATCGTGCCACTGCACTCCAGCCTGGGCAACAGAGCAAGACCCTGTCTCAAAAAAAAAAAAAAAAAAAAAAGGAGGGCCTTAATAAAGAGAAACTTCCATGTGTGACATCAAAGCTTTTCTCCCTGTAGTAACCCCATGTACATCTGCCTTCCAGGACCACAGAAGGGATCTGCTCCCTCTTTCATAGGTTGTTCTGCAGATATCCAAAGGCACGCTCACCTTTTTCCAATGAGCATTTCTTTTTTTTTTTTTTTTTCTATTTTTGAGACAGAGTTTTTGCTCTGTCACCCAGGCTGCAGTGCCATGACACAATCTCAACTCGCTGCAACCTCCACCTCCTGGGTTCAAGCGATCCTCCTGCCTCAGCCTCCCAAGTAGCTGGGATTACAGGTGCGTACTAACACACCTGGCTAGCTTTTGTATTTTTAGTAGCGATGAGGTTTCACCATGTTGGCCAAGCTGGGCTCGAACTCTTGACCTCAGGTGATCCACCCGCTTCGGCCTTCCAAAGTGCTAAGATTACAGGGGTGAGCCACCATGCCCGGCCGCCAACCACCATTTCTTAAGAGGCAGTCTCCAGTCCTCTCCCAAACCTGGTTACCACCTCTGAACCCATCCTATGCATTGGTTTCCTCAGCATGTAAGAAGTGTTCAGGCCAGGATAGAATAGAGCAGAACTGTCACCTCCACTGTCCTAGACGCTGTACTCCTCTTAATGCAACCTAAGGTCAAACTTCAACATCCACACATCACACTGTCAACCCTGAGCAGAGCACCCCCATGAGCCTGAGTTTTTCTACACATTCTGTTGCACAGCCACACTCCCTAGACCCTACACTCAAAGAACCTAGGCTAAGGCCTCCTCAAACCTGGCCACACACTGAGGAGCTTGTGCAGATTCTCAGGCCCCACCTCAGACCCACTGGTGCTGACAGTAGTCAATGACCACGTGCTGAACTGAGTCCCGTGGAGGCCCCCACGCTGGGGTCTCCACCTAGGCTCACCTGCAGGCGCCAGATGCGTTCGCTCTCCTTGGAGACGTTCTCCACAGTCTCGCCCATCAGAGCAATGAGCATGTTGAGGAGGAGAACAAAGGTGAGGATGACATAGGTGATGAGCAGGAACAGAAAGAGAATGGGATACTTGGAGTTCTGCTGGATGTTCAGGTCACCCAGGCCTATGGTGAGCTTGAAGAGTTCCAGCACTGCGTCGCTGAAGCTGCCGTAGGAGCTGCAGTCCTTGTTGTCTTTGGGACACTTCTCGATCAGCGAGGCCAAGGCTAAGGGAACATAACAGGGTGCTCTCCTCAGCTCTCTGCCTGGTAATTACTCTACAAGCTTGCGTGTATTTGCCTACATGACAAGCCTGCTGCCTCCTTCTCTCTGGCCATTAAATCCCATCTCCAGTTTCAGGTCCTCTCAAAGCCTCATCAGGCTGGCTTCTCTGGCCTGGCCTCCTGCAGAAAGCCCTTCCACCTAACAAAGCCCAGAGTCTTCTCTCCTTCCTTTACCCCGCAGTCTGCCCTTGATCACTTGCAGCCTTGCAGAGCCACTAATTATAATCCATGTGTGTGTCCCTGGCTCCCCAGCTAGTCTTTGAGCTCCTGACTTCCTCTAGCCTGGGTCACCTCCCTCAAGGCTGTAAGATCCTGAGTCTCCTCCTAATGCTCTGTTTTGAGTTCCCTGTGAGCAAGACCAGGCTCACACTTCCCTTCTTTCCAACACACCACAGTAGAGGTTCACTGCTGAATGGTTGGATGGATGGATGGATGGATGGATGGATGGATATGGAGGGATGGATGGAGGGATGGATGATTAGATGGAGGGATGGATGGATGGATGGATGGATGATTGGATGGATGGATGGATGGATGGATGGATAGATGATTAGATGGATGGATGGATAGATGATTGGATGGATGGATGGATGGATGGGTGATTAGATGGATGGATGGATGGATGGATAGATGGATGGATGGACCAATTGATCGATGGATGGATGGATGATTAAATGGATGAATGGATGGATGACTGGATGGATGGATGGATGGATGGATGGATGATTAGATGGATGATTAGATGGATGGATGGACTGATTGATCGATGGATGGATGGATGATTGGATGGATGGATAGATGGATGGATGGATGGATGGATGGATGGATGGATGGATGGATTGATGGATGAATGATTAGATGGATGGATGGATGGATGGATAGCTGGATGGATGGACCGATTGATCGATGGATGGATGATTAAATGGATGAATGGATGGATGACTGGATGGATGGATGGATGGATGGATGGATGGATGGATGATTGGATGGATGATTAGATGGATGGATGGATGGATGGATGGATGGATAGATGGATAGATCAATGGATGGATCGATGGATGAATGATTGGATGGATGGATGGATGGATGGATGGATGGATGGATGGACGGATAGACAGGTGGATGAGCAAATTAAATGAGAGAGTAAATAGATGGATGAATAAACAAGCAGGTGAAGGAGCAAATAAATAAGCAAATTGTGACCCAGAAAAGGTACCAGACAGATGGAAACAGCTACTTAATTTCAAATGTCAATGGTCACTGAAGAAAAGAAAAAAAAGCAACTGGTACGTGGGGGAAAATGATATCTCTCTATGCAGAGGTTAGAAATACAACCAGATCGTGCTGTTCCCTCTGTTGTAAATGGAGAGATTTTAAGAGGGGGCTCCTTCCTGGTCCCAGCAGACCAGAGAGGCTCTCACAGTTGTATCTAAAGCAAACTGTGAGAGTAACGTGATGTGAAATCCAAAGGAAATCACCTCAGGGTATTAGTTTGCTCCTACTTTGCAAAGACCATCAGTTGAGTTTCTGTGGACTTTAGTTTCCGCATCTGTTAAAATGGGGCTGAAAACACTTGCAGAACCTATCTTAGGTCGTGAGGGCCACGTAAGCAATGAATGGGAAAGCCAGAGGTATATACCACATGGTGAAGTTGGATTATGAGTGGCTGGCCTGGTTTGAATCCTGGAGTCTCTAAGCCTCAGTTACCTTATGATCGGGGTGATGATTCCCACTTGATCAAGTTGTTGAGAGAAGTAAAAAGGTAATGCTTGATTAGGAGATATACCTAATGTAAATGACGAGTTAATGGGTGCAGCATACCAACATGGCACATGTATACATATGTAACAAACCTGCATGTTGTGCACATGTACCCTAGAACTTAAAGTATAATAAAATATATATGTATATATATAAAGGTAATGCTTGGAAAATGCCAAGCATGGCAAGTGCCCCACTGGTAGTTGGTCTAATTGTTGCCAAGGCCGCCATGCACTTTGCCATTTTGACATCTGTATAAAGTGTTTATAAATGTGGGAGTTACTATTATTTATAAATCAATTACCTACTCCAAATCCAAGCAAAAACACGATATATACAAACAAGAACTTCAGAACATCATGCAAAATGACCTATAAGGAAATAAACATAATTCAAGTGTAAGGTGCAAGCACATATTCACGGCACCCTGATCTTCCTGCTTCCCACCCTCTCCCACCCCCCACCCTAACTGTCTCTTCACTTGGGCCACTCTCCCTTCCCCCAGCCAAATCCTCCTGATGCTCCAAGGCTCAACACTGGATCCTGCCTCCTCCAGGAAGCCTTCTGTTTCTGCTCCAGCCCCAGGTTCTCTTCTCCCTGTGATTCACCCTGTACCTTTCACCATAGGGTCTCACACTGGAATCCTCACACTTGCTGGGGGCAGTGGCATGCTGGAGCCAGCTCAGAAGAGCTCGCAAGAGCTGATCGTTAAATTCTCATGAAGCTTGTGAGCTGGTTGTTAAACA